>NC_000003.12:80616060-80919090 GCF_000001405.40 Homo sapiens | reverse complement strand
TTGGTAACATGTGAGAGGCTGTATTTTTATCAGTGATTATTTCCCTTGATTATAGCTTCTTCATAAGCCCAAGTAGAATCTTTCAATAAGATTAGGATTCAGCACATATTTTTGGAGGGACAAAATTCAACCCATAACAACTTATGACTTGATTTGGGCAAAAAAATCAGCAAATATGATGTAAATAGGAGTCTGCATGAAGAAGCTAGGGCTAACCTCCTAGATGATACGAGTACACGTGGAGAGAGGCCCAGTGGATAGAGTGCCTGGATAGCCCAGAATTTTAGTCATTTTAGCCAAAGGCACAGATACGTGAGGGAGTTCACACTATTGTTCAGACTCACTGAAGGCAGCTCAGTCCAGAAAAATTCACAGAACTGTACATAAATAATAAATTGTTATTGTTTCAAACCACTAAGTTTTGAGATGGTTTGTTATGTAGAGTCGTAGCCAATACAATAAACATATACAGTATTTAGCCTAGAGTAGGCACCCTGTAAAAGATAGTTACCCTTCCCTTACATTCATTCTATGTGTAAGGCTTTGCATGAAGTATTTTTTTATACATGTAGAAGTAATACAGCTCTGCCCTTTAGGAACACGCCCTTTGGTGGGAAAGTTGACAGTATGTAACTATAATACAAATCAAGCTATGATAATTGTTTTAATGAGATATTTTTAAAAAGTAATATACTTCTAAAAAGCATTTAGTAGCTATATAGTGTATGGCAAATATTCATGCAACTTTTTAAATAAGTTATTAAATCAATTAATAATGTCCAGGATAAATTATGTTTGTTTAATCTTATAATGGAGTTACAGTTACTAACTTTTATTTCCAAATGGAATGCTGGAAAATTTACCACATTATATTTAAGAACTATAATGTAAAACACAAAAAGTTCTTTAAAATTTCAGTGACAAAGTTCTTAGAACTTCAGTACTAAAGCAAGGATAACCTGAATTTTAAAAGCTGTTCATTAAGAATAATATACTTCTCATTAAATCAAAATATACCTGTGCATTTATAATAATCAGAATTGACTTTAGAAATCCTCTAGTAAGTTTTATAACTCATCAATGAATATGAGCTTTTCTTTGTTCTTCAAAGTCCCAGGAACTCAGAGATGCCCATGGTACTATCTTTATCATGACATTTACTGCTATTATTTCAGCTACTGACGTTCTCATACAGATTTCAACATATCTACAAATATTTAATTTCATTCTCTGGCAATTCCATTTCTGTAGGCAATTGTATAATATTAAATGCTTAATGATTTGATTTAATAATATATAAAAACTACATTTGAGGAAGAGTTATATAAGAGAGAATATCATTGCCTTCACAAGAGTTCTACAGAAGCTGAACACACATGCTTTGCACTATATATATTTTAGTGAATGTACAAACTCAAAATATATTTCACTCTCTGTGAATCCATTTTTTGGTTCCACATTTCAATTAGAATGTGAAGAGCAAAATGGGGTCAAAGGGAGAACAAGTTAACAAGTGAAATCTCTGATAATTTGAAGGCTGGAGAAGAAAAACTAAGGTGATTGAATAGTTCCCACTGTACCCAGCAGGCTGTCCTTCACAACTCACCAATTTTGAACTCTTTCATCAAGACCTGCAATAAGTGTTTGTTCATAAGAGAATTTTTGAGGAAAGGCTCAATTACCTACTTCATATCAATTATTTCATATTTGAGATTTATTGTTAATAAAGTAAAAGCACAGTTATTTTTCATCTACAGGTGAATTTAAATAAAGAAATAGCCTTATACTGGCATAAGAAATCTAGATTAAAATCATATGGAACTGAGATCTAAAAATTATTGTTTTAATAGGTTGAAGCATAGCATGGTTTTAAATAATAGAAGGGAATGGATATGATATCCATACAGGTGAAGTTCTCCCACCCCAAGTTGGAAATAAAACTATAGGAAAATGTATATTGGGAATTATATGAATGCTTAATTTTAGGTAATAATGTAGATTAAAACACAAATGAACTAGGCAGAGTGGAGCAGTGGTTCTCAAAGCTGTCTTCATCAGACCACCAGTAGTAGCAACACCAAGGAATTTGTTAGAAATGCTCATCACCGGCTCCATCTCCTACTTACTGTTATACATCTGAAACTCTGAGTTTGAGGCTGGTACTTTGGTTTTAACCAGATGACTCTAGTGCAACTAACCTTTGAAAACAATTGAAGTAGAGAGGAACAATGGGATTGAATTTGAACAAATAGGATAGCTGTGTGAAAGCTGAAATATTCTTGGTATATAAGAAAAGCTAGATAGTATTTTGATGAATTTAGGTATCTATTTCCATTTACTTAATTAAGGCAGGTCTATGTGTTTGAGTACGTTTAAGTGATACTCTTTGGTTCCTGATTCCCAATATTTTAGAAAAGTATAGTGAGAAATATAAACATTATTTTACCAAACCAATGATTCAAACCTTTCCTGTTTGAAATCTTCCCAGACAGATTTAAGGTGTTAGATTTACTCTAAATATCAAGTATATAATGATAAAATTACAATTCATTTTAACTCATCTATCATAAATTTTTTTATATTTACAATTTATGCGTTTAAAGTTTATTTTGGTAGTTTTGTGAAGGGAAATAATATCTTCAGATGAAATTACTGATACCATCTTTGCTCTACCAAAGGAAACATGTTTTAAATGGTTTAGCAATTTGTAAAAGAATCCTTTATATATTATATCTTTAAAAATATGAGGCATGACAAATGAAAGCAGAACATTACACTAAGAATTGGAAGTCTTGAGATACAGTTTGAACTTTGCATTAATTATTTAGTGATGTTAGGTAATTTATCTGACCTTGCATCATTTATAAAATGATGGTGGACTTCTAGGTCCTTTCTATAATTCGAATTGTAGAGAATTTGAATACAATACCCCCATTAATATACAGCTCAATATGGCATTCCTTAGAGATTATCTTAATCAAGCTGGTTTTACACTCAGGATTCTGCACCTCTTTATACTTTTTTTCTTTTATATTCTCCTTGTATGATTCGTGAACCCCATGTTCCGTACCAGGTAGCTCACATAGCTGTTGCCTGTCTCCTGATATAATACAGCTATTTTAATTCCCTTTTCTCAGACTTCACAAAAACTTTGTTCAAAGTGTCAATGTGAAGAAAATAAATCAAACATGTACATTTAATATCATTCTGAGAATAAATCCTAAGATTTCTCTGAGGATTTTTTAAATGTAGCCTTTTCCATAGCAATTAAAATTATGAGCAAATTTTATTGCTTACAAAAGCTCCATTTAATTTTTACAGCTATGTTTGGTTTTTGAATTAATTATGTGGATGGTATTAAATTTTAAACCCATTACATTTTTATATGTAAACTACAATTCTCAGCCTTATTTGGGTATCTCTTTGCTTTTAACCATCCTATCATATATGAACAACAATTTGAAATACTTTTACTAAGAATGTCAGTGTTAACTGAGATATTCTTGGCAGGTCCATTTGCCTTCCACCTTAGCTACTGTCAATCTTCTATTTTGGCTAAGAATCTTTTCTAATATTGTGCCTCACACAAATTAGCAGGATTTCTTCTTATCCAGTTTTTATTATGACATTATTAGTTGTACCCAAAGTTATAGAGACATGTCTTGGATAATTTTTAAAACTCTCTATATTTATGCCACCATTGAGTGAGTTTTAATGATCTTATGTATTTAACTTAATTAGCATGAAGAGCTTTCTCATACTTAATAAAATCAAAGCTGACATTAAAAAATAGTCAAGGTAGGCTTATATTTGAATATACAATTCAGCTAACTACTGAATTATTGAATTAAGTCTTTGCCACCATCAGCAATTAGGTGTAGAGTTTTTGACTACTTAAAACCTGTATAGCTCAATATGCTCAGTTAAATTTATCATGCATTGGAAATAACGTTACACATGTAAAATGCCTCCGAATTTCAGAAGTCATAAAATTTTAGAATGAAAGAGCCCTCTGTGAGTCACCTCTCTGAGTTCTTCTCTGTTTACACAAGGACACTGTAGCCTTGAAGAGTTAGAGATTCAACCGTGGCTATACATCTTGAAAGCGGCAAAACTAATAGAATCAAGATTTTCTGCTACTCATCTGGGAGTTTCTCCTAAGGATGTGATAATAGCTTCTGTGTTAAGTTGCCCTTGCCCCTGTAACACTGTTTTAATGTGGCTTTTCTGTGCTTTTCCTGTTGAGTAAGTATTTTGCATGTAAGACTCTGTGCTAGATACTGAGGATATACACCACTTAATGAAATAGTGAGCCTGTAATTTACAAGGTGGATTTAAGAGTAGTACCTATTGCTACAAATAGACACCAATTGTCATTTATGTGAGACATTTGGATTACTGCAAGAATGTGTTTTTAATCTCTTATGAAACAATTTTTAAAAGTTAAAACTTTATCTCCAAATTTTGTGAGAGCTTAGGGATTGATTTAAGTCACAATTAATAACTGGGATGACAGTGAAATTAAGAACTAAATATAAAGGAAATCAGTATCAGACATCATATTGACTATAAGTCATGTCTGAAATATCAGTCTTAACAAATGCAAAAGTTTAGTTTGTGCCCAAGAACACAATTACAATAAAAATCTCATTCTTTTTTTCCTAATATTTGCTATTCCAACCTTTTACCATATATAGAAAGTTCCTGAAATTGAGTCAATAATATAGTCAATATATTATGTAAGTGAGACAAGGCAAACTGATATTTTAATTACAGTGACATACACAATGAAAGGTAGATTTACAACACCTATACAGATTTTGGTTGACATCTATTAGCAAAGGAATTTAAGTATTATAGTTGTGTTTTTAATGAAATCTCCATGTAGGACTTGAACCCATGGGAAGTCCATCCAAATTTAGGAGGTCTGATAATGCAGATTGGAGATATGAAATAGTTGCAAGATTTGGGATATAAAATGAGTAAATTTACTCCAAAACAGTACTTAGCTATTATTTCTTTTCTCTCAGTGTAGATAACTTAGGATGAGTTAATCATTAACAGAGTGCTTTATTAGTGAGGCTTATTTTTCCCAATTAACACTTTAATTTAAGAAAGGTTTTTAAATCTTTAACCCGAATTGGTTATAAATACATACCAAGTAGGTATTTCTATAAAGAAACAAAAGACAAGCTCTTTGTCAATTCTCTTTTAAATATTAAAGCATTATATATTTGCAATCTTAGTATATACAGAACATTGCAGAAATAAATAAAATATAATCTACTTAGAATTAAGGACATTTGGAATTTCAGTTGCCTCTGAAATGAAATTATATATCATTTAAGATAAAAGTATAAAATGAAATTATATATTATTTAAGATAAAAGATAAAAGAGTGTAGATAATTAAAGACTTTCTGAATCTAAATAAGGTATGCAATATATGAATTGACAGTAAGGATTCATACTGTGCTCACAAGAGACCTAAAAATTTCAGAGGCAGTCTTAGTCATTTGAAGTATTTAAATGAGAAATCATCACTTTCAATGCTAGAATAATGTGATTCTATGTCAAATGTATTATTTAAGAGAATTATTTTTGACATGTAATATGACTCTTGCCTTAAAGATTTAGAAACTGAGCATACGGTAAAATTCACAATATTTTGAAAACTAAGTTTGTTCATGAGTTCAGTATGGAAAGAACATTACAAAGGTATACAAAAATATATTAGATCTAGGGATTTCTAGTTTTTATTATTTAAAAGACTTTGATATACTTTACAATTATAAAAATATTCCCTTTTTATAATTTAGAAAATTAAATATTATTTACAAAAAAATCTGGAACTGCTAACTAAAATACCAATTATACATTAGAACAGTAATATAAAAATCATCTTAAAATGATTTATCAATGATGCAAAATTTGAATGCCAGTACTTCCATTTTCTATTCCTTAAATTTATTAAGGAAGAAAGCAAAAATGCTACTCAATTTTAACAAAAACAATTTCTTTCAAAGATTAGGTAACATGGAAATAATTCCTAAAGTGTTTTAACATTCTATGTTGAAAGTTAAATATATTTCCATACAGTTTTATTATTTATCAGGACATATTTATATTTCTCTTACTGTCCCCTTTCTCTTTCTATCTGTCTTTCTCACTTCTCTTGTAGTTCTTCCAGTGGACAAACACAGAGTACTATTGATTATATGGCCTGGCCTGTAGTGCAAATATCCATGTTAAGTAATTGAAACTTTGATAAACCTTTCAAAAGTGAACTTTGACAACTTCGTCTTCATTTTTTTTTACTACAAATAACAAATATACAATAACAAATGAATTCATTTTAGCTGAGGAAGTATATTTGTATTATCTTCTTTGTTTGACACTTACTAAACTAGATTGTATCGAAAGAAACCAAGTTAGAAATTACAAGTGTAGTTAAGGAGCTCCTTGGCTTCACAACCTCCAACCAACAAAGGTTTGGAATTAGTGAATTGTTTAGTTTTGTTCTAAATAAATAATCAGCTTTTCATATATAGGTTTATGGCCTGAAATTTCATATAGATAACAAATTATATTATTGCAAGTTACTATTATAAAATAAATCAAAATCATTTCAAAATCTTGATGTATTTAAATGACTCCATTGTAAGGCAGAAGTGAAATATATAAGTGTGTTAAATATAGCGATTCATTCGTTTATCTTTTATAGCTCTCAAATTTTTAACAGAATTAACACTGACTTTATTTGATCTAATAATTTCAACTTCATTTCTATATGTATAAGATCTTTCTGCAAGAAAAGTTATTTAAAATGTAATTATTGTATTTAAAATATGGCAGGTGTGACTAAAAGCCCAACAAGAGCTCTTGAAATAAAAAAAATAGATTTTTAAAAACAATTTCTATACTTAATAAATCCTCAGGCAATATTTCTTAAAAATGTTATGGAATTAAATTCTACTCAGACAATACATTATTAATTGCTTTTTTTAAATTCACAATGCTGAACATTTTTCTGCAAAAAGTATCATCTATTTGACTACAGTAAAGGGCAAAAGGCAAAAAATGTAATAAAATACAGATGATAATACAATGTCAAAATAGTGCTGAAACGAACAGAAAACACCCTAAAGGCAAATTTCATTATGCATTGCTTTTAATTTTTTTAATCTGGTTGCAATTTTTACTGTTTTTATGAGACTGAGAAATAATGGACTGAAATGGAAAAAAATTACAGCATGTAATTTTATATATATACACAAACACACACACAAACAGACACACACACATATATAACTTAGGCTGGTTTCTACCCCAAACTCAGCAACATACTCACACCTTCATAATCATTTTTTTCAGGGAATCTCAGATAAGCATATTTGAAGTTATAATTCACCTTTATTAAAAAGCTTTTCATGTGGATGTGCACAGTAATATTAATTAACAGAAAATTTATTTCCCTTTAACATAAAGCAATCTCTTTAACTTTCAGAGAATTTCTTAAAAAATAGCACTTACATTCTTTGATCAAGCATTGTTTTCATAATTTTCTACACTTTAATATTTAACCGAGTTGTTTTCAATGCTTTACATATATATCCTACATTTGACTAAAATCAGATCAGATCAGTATATGTGACCGGAAACAGAAGTTGACTTTTGTTACAAACAAGAAAGATGAAATTAAAATCTGTGTTAGGTTTGAGGACAACACTCATGCTAGATTAAAATTGACATATAGGCTTAGCAAATGTTTGTATTGTTATGTATAATTTGCGTAAGGATCTTTCTTTTTTCATAACTGGTGCCCACATTACTCAGATCTGATAAACTCAGCTCCAAGCCCCTGATTTTGACAATCTATCTGAATATGCTGTTAAGCTTGATAAATTTGTTAATGCTTTCTTAGACCTTTGTTGTCTTTTTTCTCCAGATTCTGTTTTATTTATTTTTATTATACTTTAACTTCTGCGGTACATGTGCAGAACGTGCAGTTTTGTTACATAGCTATACACGTGCCATGGTGGTTTGCTGCACCCATCAACCCATTACCTACATTAGGTGTTTCTGCTAATGCTATCCCTCCCCTAGTCCCCCACCTCCTGACAGGACCCAGTGTGTGATGTTCATCACCCTGTGCCCATGTGTTCTCATTGTTCAACTCCCATTTATGAGAGAGAACATGTGGTGTTTGGTTTTCTCTTCTTCTTATAGTTTGCTGAGAATGATGGTTTCCAGCTTCATCCATGTACCTGCAAAGGACATGAACTCATCCTTTTTTATGGCTGCATAGTATTCCATGGTGTATATGTGCCACATTTTCTTAATCCAGTCTATTATTGATGGACATTTGGGTTGGTTCCAAGTCTTTGCTATTGTGAATAGTGCTGCAATAAACATATGTGTGCATGTGTCTTTATAGGAGAATGATTTATAATCCTTTAGGTATATACCCAGTAGTGGTATTGCAGGTCAAATGGTATTTCTAGTTCTAGATCCTTGAGGAATTGCCACACTGTCTCCCACAATGGTTGAACTAATTTACACTCCCACCAACAGTGTAAAAGCATTGCTTTTTCTCCACATCTTCTCCAGCATCTGTTGTTTCCAGACTTTAATGATTACCATTTTAACTGGTGTGAGATGGTATCTCATTGTGGTTTTGATTTGCATTTCTCTAATGACCAGTGATGATGAGCATTTTTTCATGTCTGTTGGCTGCATAAATGTCTTCTTTTGAGAAGTGTCTGTTCATATCCTTTGCCCACTTTCTGATGTTTTTTTTTCTTGTAAATTTGTTTAAGTTCGTTGTAGATTCCGGATTTGTCAGACAGATAGATTGAGAAAATTTTTTCCCATTCTGTAGGTTGCCTGTTCACTCTGATTATAGTTTCTTTTGCTGTTCATAAGCTCTTCAGTTTAATTAGATCTCATTTGTCAATTTTGGCTTTTGTTGCCATTGCTTTTGGTGTTTTAGACATGAAGTCTTTGCCCATGCCTATGTCCTGAATGGTGTTGCCTAGATTGTTTTCTTCTAGGATTTTTATCGTCCTAGGTCTTACATTTAAGTCTTTGATCCATCTCGAGTTGATTTTTGTATAAGGTGTAAGGCAGGGGTCCAGTTTCGGTTTCCTTCATATGGCTAGCCAGTCTTTCCAACACCACTTACTAAATAGGGAATCTTTTTTCTATCGCTTATTATTGTCAGGTTTGTCAAAGATCAGATGGTTGTAGACATATGGTATTATTTCTGAGGCCTCTGTTCTGTTCCATGGTGTATATATCTGTTTTGGTACCAGTACCATGCTGTTTTGGTTACTGTAGACTTGTAGTATAGTTTGAAGTTAGGTAACATGATGCCTCCAGCTTTGTTCTTCTAACCTAGGATTGTCTTGGCTGTGTGATGTCTTTTTTGGTTCCATATGAAGTTTAAAGTATTTTTTTTTCCAATTATGTGAAAGCCAGTGGTAGCTTGATGGGGATAGCATTGAATCTATAAATTACTTTGGGAAGTATGTTCATTTTCATGATATTGATTCTTCCTATCCATGAGCATGGAATGTTTTTCCATTTGTTTGTCTTCCTTGAGCAGCGTTTTGTAGTTCTGCTTCAAGAGGTCCTTTACATCCCTTGTAAGTTGTATTCCTAGGTATTTTATTCTCTTAGTAGCAATTGTGAATGGGAGTTCACTCATGATTTGGATCTCTGTTTACCTGTTATTGGTGTATTGGAATGCTTGTGATTTTTGCACGTTGATTTTGTATCCTGAGACTTTGCTGAAGTTGCTTATCAGCTTAAGGAGTTTTGGGCTGAGACGATGGCGTTCTCTAAATATACAATCATGTCATCTGCAAACAGACAATTTGACTTCCTCTCTTCCTATTTGAATAAACTTTATTTCTTTCTCTTGCCTGATTGCCCTGGCCAGAATTTCCAATACTATGATGAATAGCAGTGGTGAGAGAGGGCATCCTTGTCTTGTGCTGGTTTTCAAAGGGAATGCTTCCAGTTTTTGCCCATTCAGTATGATATTGGCTGTGGGTTTGTCATAAATAGCACTTATAATTTTGAGATACGTTCCACTGATACCGAGTTTTTTGAGAGATTTTAGCATTAAGGGGTGTTTAATTTTGTCAAAGGACTTTTCTGCATCTATTAAGGTAATCTGTGGTTTTTGTCATTGGTTCTGTTTATGTGATGGATTACATTTATTGAATTGCTTATTTTGAACTAGCCTTGCATCCCAAGTATGAAGCTGACTCGATCATGGTGGATAAGCTTTTCAATGTGCTGCTGGATTGGGTTTGCCAGTATTATATTGGGGATTTTAGCATCTATGTTCATCAGGGATATTGGCCTGAAGTTTTCTTTTTTTGTTATGTCTCTGCCAGGTTTTGGTATCAGGATTACGCTGGCCTCATAAAATGAGTTAAGGAGGATTCCCTCTTTTTCTATTGTTTGGAATAGTTTCAGAAGGAATGGTACCATCTCCTCACTGTACTTCTGGTAGAATTCAGCTGTGAATCTGTCTGGTCTTATACTTTTTTTGGTTGGTAGGCTATTAATTACTACATCAATTTCAGAACTTGTTATTCCTTTATTCAGGGACTTGACGTCTTCCTGGTTTAGACTTGGGAGGGTGTATATGTCCAGGAATTTACCCATTTCTTCTAGATTTTCTAGTTTATTTATGTAGAGGTGTTTATAGTATTCTCCGATGGTAGTTTGTATTTCTGTGGGATAAGTGGTGATATCACCTGTATCATTTTTATGGCCTCTATATAAGATTCTTCTCTCTTCTTTTTTAATCTGGCTAGCCATCTACCTATTTTGTTGATCTTTTCAAAAATCAGCTCCTCAATTCATTGATTTTTTTGAAGGGTTTTTTGTGTCTCTACCGCCTTCAATTCTGCTCTGATCTTTCTTGTTTTCTGCTAGATTTTGAATGTATTTGCTGTTGGATCTCTGGTTCTTTTAATTTTGAGGTTAGGGTGTCAGTTTTAGATCTTTCTAGCTTTCTGTTGTGGGCATTTAGTGCTATAAATTTCCCTCTACATACTTCTTTGAATGTGTCCCAGAGATTCTGGTACATTGTGTCTTTGTTCTCAATGGTTTCAATGAACATCTTTATCTCAGCCTTCACTTAATTATTTACACAGTGGTCATTCAGGAGCAGGTTGTTCAGTTTCCATGTAGTTGTGCAGTTTTGAGTGAGTTTCTTAATCTTGAGTTCTAATTTGATTACACTGTAGCCTGAGAGAATTTTTTACATTCTTTTATTTGTTAATCTATTTATTTAATCACAAACATCTTTTTTTTCTACTTTAAGTTCTAGGGTACATGTGCACAATATGCAGGTTTGTTACATATGTATACATGTGCCACGTTGGTGTGCTGCACCCATTAACTCGTCATTTACATTAGATATATCTCTTAATGCTATCCCTCCTTCCTTCCTCCAGCCCACGACAGGCCTCGGTTTGTGATGTTCCCCTTTCTGTGTCCAAGTCTTCTCATTGTTCAGTTCCCACCTATGAGTGAGAACATGCAGTATATGGTTTTTTGTCCCTGTGATAGTTTGCTGAGAATGATGGTTTACAGCTTCATCCATGTCCCTACAAAGGACATGAACTCATCCTATTTTATTGGCTGCATAGTATTCCATGGTGTATATGTGCCACATTTTCTTAATCCAGTCTATCATTGATGGACATTTGGGTTGATTCCAAGTCTTTGCTATTGTGAATAGTGCCGCAATAAACATGCGTGTGCATGTGCTTTATAGCAACATGATTTATAATCCTTTGGGCATATACCCAGTAATGGGATGGCTGGGTCAAATGGTATTTCTAGTTCTAGATCCTTAAGGAATTGCCACACTGTCTTCCACAATGGTTAAACTAGTTTACGGTCCCACCAGCAGTGTAAAAGTGTTCCTATTTCTCCACATCCTCTCCAGCACCTGTTGTTTCCTGACTTTTTAATGATCGCCATTCTAACTGGTGTGAGATGGTATCTCATTGTGGTTTTGATTTGCATTTCTCTGATGGCCAGTGATGATGACCATTTTTTCATGTGTCTTTTGGCTGCATAAATGTCTTCTTTTCTTTAGGAATGTTGAATATTGTCCCCCACTCTCTTCTGGCTTGTAGTGTTTCTGCAGAGAGATCCACTGTTAGTCTGATGGGCTTCCCTTTGTGGCTAACCCAAACTTTCTCTCTGGTTGCCCTTAACATTTTTTCCCTCATTTCGACCTTGGTGAGTCCGATGACTATGTCTCTTGGGGTTGCTCTTCTCGAGGAGTATCTTTGTGGTGTTCTCTGTATTTCCTGAATTTGAATGTTGGCCTGTCTTGCTAGGTTGGGGAAGTTCTCTTGGATAATATCCTGAAGAGTGTTTTCCAACTGGTTCCATTCTCCTCGTCACTTTGACATACACCAATCAAACGTAGATTTGATCTTTACACATAGTCCCATATTTCTTGGAAGCTTTGTTCATTCCTTTTTATTCCTTTTTTTCTAATCTTGTGTTCTCTCTTTATTTCATTAAGTTTATCTTCAATCTCTGATATCCTTTCTTCTGCTTGATAGATTTGGCTATTGAAACTTGTGTATGCTTCAAGAAGTTCTTGTGCTGTGTTTTTCAGCTCCATCAGGTCATTTATGTTCTTCTCTACACTGTTTATTCTAGTTAGCAATTTGTCTAGCCTTTCTCAAGGTTCTTAGCTTCTTTGCATTGAGTTAGAACATATTCCTTTAGCTCGGAGGAGTTTGTTATTACCCACCTTCTGAAGCCTACTTCTGTCAATTTGACAAACTCATTCTCCATCCAGTTTTGTTCTCTTGCTGGTGAAGAGTGTGATCCTTTGGAGGAGAAGAGTCATTCTTCTTTTTGGAATTTTCAGCATTTTTGTGCTGGTTTCTCCCCATCTTTGTGGATTTATCTACCTTTGGTCTTTGATGTTGGTGACCTTCGGATGGGGTCTTTGAGTGGATGTGTTATTCCTTTCTGTTTGTTAGTTTTCCTTCTGACAGTCCCCTCTTCTGCTGGTCTGCTGGAGTTTGCTGGAGGTCCATTCTCAACCCTGTTTGCCTGGGTATCACCAGCAGAGGCTGCAGAACAGCAAAGATTGCTGCCTGATCTTTCCTTAAGTCTGCTGAAGCTGTGCCCACAGCCACCCCATTCCCTAGGTGCTCTGTCCCATAGAGATGGGGGTTTTATCTATGATTCCCTGACTGGGGCTGCTGCCTTTTTTCAGAGATGCCCTGCCCAGAGAAGAGAAATCTGTCAGTTTGGTTTCTTGCTGAGCTGCAGTGAGCTCCGCCCAGTTCGAACTGCCCAGGACTTTGTTTACACTGTGAGTGTAAAACCTCCTACTCAAGCCTCAGCAATGGTGGACACCCCTCGCCCCACCAACCTCGAGCATCCCAGGTTGATCTCAGACTGCTGCTGTGCTGGCAGTGAGAATTTCAAGACAGTGGATCTTAGTTTGTTGGGCTCCATGGGGGTGGGACCTGCCAAGCCAGACCACTTGGCTCCCTGGCTTCAGCATCCCTTTCCAGGGAAGTGAACAGTTCTGTCTCGCTGGAAAAAAAAGAACTCCTGCAGCTAGTTCGGTGTCTGCCCAAATGGCCACCCAGTTCTGTGCTTGAAACCCAGGACTCTGGTGGGGTAGGTACCAGAGGGAATCCCCTGGTTTGTGCATTGTGAAAACCTTGGGACAAGCGCAGTATCTTTACTGGAGTTCCTCAGGCTCAGTCCTTCACGGCTTCCCTTGGGTAGGGGAGAAAATTCCCTGACCCCTTGTGCTTCCCGGGTGAGGCGATGTCCCACCCTGGTTCAGCTCGCCCTCCATGGGCTGCACGCACAGTCCAACCAGTCCCAATGAGAAGAACTGGGTACCTCAGGTGAAAAATGCAGAAATCACCCGCCTTCTGTGTCAATCTTGCTGAGAGCTGCAGACCGAAGCTGTTCCTATTTGGCCATCTTGCCAGCCCAGATTTTTTTTTTATATGTAAAATAAAGATAATAACACTTCCTACTATTTTAAGTGCTATTTTGCAGTCTGAATAAAGAAATGAAAATAAAGTGCTCATCACATGATTGACATAAATACTTTGCCATTATTAAATACTATTATATATTGTTTCTACTCACTCCACATTATGTCCCTCAAAGAGCTTATGCACGTCTGCGATGTCATTAGAAACTGAATGGGAAAAACACAAATTGTGGACTAATCAGATTAGGATCCCCAATTCTATATCTTCAAATGATAGTATTATATTTTGCATAGCAAATACCTTCCTGGGCACCCTTTTTGTCATACTTGAAATGATGTACAAGTGAAAAAATATTTCAATTGCTCTCTAGTTTTAAATATCTAATCTGATTCTGAAATATGCATTTTCAGCTGTAACCATTTATCTTATTTCTCACCTGGCATTTCCTAATATTTGAATGTCCCACAATTTCCTCAATATCACTGAAAGTTGAGTTCATTTGCCTCCAATGTTCAAGGTGACTTTTATTCCCAAATTAGTCATTTCTATCAACATGCATGTTCTGCAGTCATGAGATTAAAAATATTTCTCAAGTTTGCTCTTTTTCCTTTTCATAACCCATATTTTCATAAAAATTATAGATTCATTATTTTTAAAAATTATTTGATTTGACCCTTTTTTTTACTTTTACCTTAAGACAAGTCTAGATTCTAGTCAATTTATGGTTGGATTATTGCAATTAATTATCACTAACTTTCCTGCTTCTAATTAAATGCTACCTGCAGATTTACCTGGCACAGTGCTTATTTTTATTTTTTAGTCATATTGAGGTATAACTTACAGGAAAATCTACTGTTTCTAGGTTTTCAGTTCTATATGCTTGACAAGTATACATAATCATGTAAACACCATCACAATCAAAATGTAGACTACTTCCATCATCCGCAAAAGTTTCTCTGAGCCCCTTTGAAGTCAATTCTTATCAAACTTTAGCTTCATCAGGCAGTCAAGGCTGTGATTTTCAGCTTGACTCTTATATATATCTGTAATACATTATTTTCATTACTGAATACTATTTCATTGTATGCATGTAACAAAATGTACTTAACCAGTCCTGACAGGATATATTTGTGGGCTCTTTACAACTTTTGGTATAAATATAGCCACAAGGTGCATTTGTGTACAAGTCTTTATGTATAATTACGTTTTAATTTCTCTTAAGTAAATACCTAGGAGTAGGATTGCTGGGATACATAGTGAATTTATATTTAACTTCATGTAACAGAAAAACTGCCAGTTTTTATATGATGTGAGGTAAGAATTAATTTTCATCTTTTTGCACATGTGTGTTCAATTGTTTCAGCATCATTTCTTGAAAATCTTATTGTAGATAAAATTATATTGGAAAATCTCTACCTTCATCGCCCCTTTTAGGGTCTCATATGGGTTTGAGAATTAAACTTACTTGACATAGATTAATAGGAAGAAAACACAATACAAGTTTTACATGGCATAGGGGCCCTTATAAAGAAAGGAAGACCTGAAGAATCAATTAGAGTCTGATACCTACATACAGAATTGGAGAAAGAAGAGTTAGTTGTGAAGAAGCAACTGAATTATGTGGGAAGGCGTAAAAGACAACAGCAATTTTAGCAGAGTCTGTACAGAATTCTCTTGGTTTTGAATTCTCATCTTTTAGGATAAAGATGTTGCCTTTTCTTCTAGCATAGGAAGAGCATCTTTCACATAGGAATTTCGTCTTCTACTTTTAGGAAACAGCACAAAGGTCAGAGTAATCTTTTTGCACCTGCTGTTTTTCAAGTGTCTTTAACTTAAATAGTCAATCCTAGGGTGGCATATTCTTAATTCTTTCATGATTGCTTCTCCACTGAACTAACTCAGGAGCTTGTCAAAAATCGATTGACACACATGTGAGTCTATTTCTGGAGTCTCTTCTCTTCTACTGTTCTATTTATGCCAGTGTCATACTATCATGACTACTGTTACTTTAAATATGTTTTAGAATCAGGTAGTGCATTTGCCCTAATATTATTTCTTTGTTTCTAATTTTTTTTTTTTTACCTATTCTAAGTTTCTGGGTTTTCATATAAATTTGGAATTTAAAAATTTTTAGGATTTAAATATTTTTTAATTTTTAATGAAATGTTTATTTGTATTATATATACACATCTTATATATAAATTTTGTATAATACATATATACACATTCTATTAATTTTTTATATAAAACATATATATAGTTTATTAAAAATTTAAATGCAATTTGTAATAAAATTAGATTTTACTCATTTGTAGTCACTGATGAATTTTGCTCTTTATTCTCCAGTATAATATATATAGACACACACATGCAAAAATATACACACACACACCTTTGTCTACCCATGATACCCAGTGCCAAAAGACTATTAGATACACACCTAAAGTCAAACTAAATTTGACTGCAGTCCCAAGAAGGGTGCAAAATTGACCTGCAGCCTCAAGAAGAATGGATACCTTAGGAAATTGACTTAGAGAAAAGGAGTCCATTTGGGCTGTGTCTTAGGAAAGCATTTAAGAAGTAACGGTTTTTAAGCATTGAATGGTCTCCAGAAAGTGGGCAATTTGGGGATAATGGTCGGATTATTGCAATTAATTATCACTAACTTTAATAAAATGAACATACAGGTGTTCATTTTATTTAAGACATGGGAGCATGACTAGAATTGTAATTGGTAAAGAAGCAGTGCTTACTAATTTTAGAAAGTACAAAAAGGGGTTTGTGGGGTATATTTTCTGTTTGCATAGCTTAATTTTGTTCATCTTGGGTTAAGATAGGATTACAAAGTATTCTTATATTTGCATAATTTCACCGTGGGCAATAAGGATCTTGTCTAATATTGTTGACACTCTACAAAACTGTTCATGCTCAGTGGAGTACTATATCCTGTGTCTACTGCCAGCTTTCATGGCCATTTTTAAAATTGTTATCTTGTCTTTCTTACTGTCTATGAATGTAATATATTATTAGTGTCACATGACCCAATTCTTCAAGAACTGAGATAAAATATAAATTGTATACTAGAATATTTTAAAGTAATTCAAATCTTTAACAAAGGCTTCCTTAAAACTTTGTGATATTAAAGTTTGCAATGACATATGTTATAGCTCCTACTCCCCAAATTTCAGTCATATTAACTATTAAATACGTCTCTTTTTTCATCAATTTTTCCATGACAGTCTATAACATTTTGTAAAGCTAAACGCCTTGCATGTTAAGATTCTTGAAAAATAGTATTTAATTATTTAGATATGGAGAACATAATAGTTGTATTTGTTGCAGCTAAACTGTTTTGATTTATGCCATATTTTATATTTTAGGCAGAAATTTATTTTTTAATTGAAACAAAATTAAAATAAGCTTAATAAAAATAAAAGTTATTTCAAAGTTAGATATCTTGAAATGATACTAAGACAATTCAAACTATTGATTTTAGATGGCAGCAGCAAGTTCTCAAAGGGTTTCAAGAACTGTCACATTAACCCATGTCTTATTTATGCTTTACTCTGCTTGTCTTCCTTTTGTTGACAGGCTTTATCCAAATCATAAGGAAGATGGTCAACAGCCCATGATTCATATTCTCATGGCATAGAGAACCCAGGAAATAGATAGCTTATTTCCTCCAGTATCTAGGTATTAGTTTTAGTGAAAGAACCTAATTGTCCTTAATTGACAGATCATATGCTCTCCCCACTCATTCCTCCAAAGTAACCACATCTTGTTATTTGTTAGACATGTGTGAAATTCTTAACCCTGTGTATGCAAAGCCAAGTGTGGGGTGGCAATTACACAAGATCAGTCACATAAACGGTAAAATAAAATGATATTTTTATCTTAGAAGTAAATCATAGATAACGTAAAAGTAATTTATATTTCACCTATGAAGCCTCTTCTACAGTTATTCTTTTTAACTTTTTCAAAATAGTTTTGAATAATGTTAATTTTGATATTGGAATTATTCCGTGGTGGTGAAGGAGAGTGAGCAGATAAATCATAAAAATTCTTTAAGAATGAAACCTTTTTATTTTATGAAAAATCTTAAATGTTTAATGTCTCTAACATGGGCTCTAACCTTTCACTCCTCTCTTCACATACTCATATGGACATAAACATTATTTTTCAAACAATGTAGCAGACACATGTGATGCTCCCATGGGTCCACTTTATTTCATAAGAACTGTGGTAAACAATTTCAACTATTTTCCCAGTACTCAGTACATAAAGTTTCCAATAAAGACATTTCTCTGTTTTACAGGTTGAAGCTTTGCCAGAGATGAACGAGCTTTTCAGTCTACCTACAGGCATGACCTCCAAGTATAGAAGTATTAATTTATCTGAGGAAACACTCAATAAATAGGGAATAAAGTCATTAGAAGAGCCAGCCTCCCAATCCTTTAGTATGACAATGGTTAATCACTTTTTTCTTAATGAGTTTTAAGCAAGTTTGAATTACAATTGCCCACAGCTGAAGCCAACTAATTAAAATTTCTCTTCTTTAGCCTTCCCCTATGCAAAATTTCTCAAAGTCAGATATTTGAAAAATCTCAAATGATTCCACCAAGCATAGTCATGAATATTTTTATTTAAAGGCAAATAATAAATTGCCTAAAGAGAAAGAGTGCAGACAAGCATTGTGGATCTGAGAGACATCCAGACACAGACACCTTTGGCACATGCATGAGGTTTGCTTCCAGATTTAGCCAAAATGATCTGTATGATAAATCTTGATTTCACAAGAGCCTAAGGTCCTAGTTCCTAATGGAGTCTTTTTATGTCCCCTGGGCCTTTTAGTCAAGCCAGGTTGTCTAACCAGGCATGGTAGGTAAACACTATTTGTAAACAAATCATCCCTGGGAGTCACTAGGATGTCATTATAAATCTTACTGCCCTTACCATGGTAAGATAATAAAAACTATAGAAATTTAATCAAGTTGTAGCCTCAATAGTGGATGCTGTGATGGATATGGTACTTTAAGAAGAACTAATCAACATACTTTCTGTGCTGCTATTGATCTGGATCATATCTTCTTTTCCAAAAGCATCACAATCAGTTTGATTTCACATAATCATGACAACAATACAATATCATCCCACAGTGATTTTTATGTAGTCATTTTTGTCACTGCATAGACTTGAAAGACTTGATTAACTTGACGTTCCTCAGAACTTTGTTTTGCACTATACTGTTGGCAGCATACTATTAGGCTGTATTATCAGGAAGTGGGAGAAACTCTGGAAACACTAGAAGGACAAATATATGCTACAGATAGAAAAAAAAAATCTCCACAGGTTATCAGTGTTTTTCAATTATAGCAAAATTTTCATGAGACTAATAATCTGGTGGCAGGGAATGGTATATCATCTAATATTCAAAATAATTTATTGTATGCTGCATGATCTATTGCTAAGAAAGGGACCCAGTCATTATTGGGGCCTGTTTGTCAACATATATTTACCCTCTGATTACTCCTCTGATTAATGTATCAGGTGACTCAGAAGGCTCCCAGATTTCAGTAGCGATCAGAGCAAGAGAGAATTCCACATAATATTCAGAATCTGGTGCAAAATTTCTGTCATTTGGCTCATATGACAGAACAGATCCAATAGCGCTAGAGGTGTTCATCACAGATACGGAGGTAGAGTGGAGTCTATGGCAAGTCTCATTAAGAGATTTGCAGTGTACATACTTGGGTTTTGCAGTACACCAGCAAAGAATTCCTCATTGTTCAAAATGCAGCTCCTGTGGCTAGTGGAGCCTGAGCACCTGACTGTGGGAAATGAAGGGACTTCAGTCAGAGCTGCAACTCGTGAACTAGATATTACTGGGCTCATCCAAATCATGTTGGACAAATGCAGTTGCAATCACTAGAAATTTTTCCTGGACAGATCCTGGGGGTCAACATATGGGTTCCCAGATCTCCATGGAAATCTTGCAATTTTTATCTCAGCATCCACGTATGGATTAATGGTGGCTCCTACTACAATATAATGGAAAAAGAAAATTATTGGCTTTGTTCACAGATGGATCAGCCTAATATGTGTGTGCAAGTCCTACAGCTCCAGTCAGTAGTGGTTCTAAAATGTAGTAGAGCCTTTATTAGGTAGAATTCAGAGATCTGCTAGATTGTCCATTAATACAGATGAATAAGTGACCTGGTATCACTATATACACCCTATTGGGCAATGAGAATCATTTTGTTAACTAGACAGAGTCTGAGGAAGAGTTTAGAAATTCAGAAACAAAGTAGTCTAGAAAAGAGGCATATGAAGTAATTTATAGAAAATAGGCACAGAATTGGTAGACACTTGTATTTCATGCCAATGGCCACTAAATATCATCCACCACAGAGGAAGGACTGGTCAATTGGATGCATCAATGAAGTAGAATGGTTTGTCTTATAAGGATTATCCAGCCTATGTTCTCTACCTGCCCAGTGCTTGCACAGTGAGTATGAATATGGTAGCCAAGGGGCAGAAATGGAGGCCATTGATGGTTTTAACAGCAAGGGATGCATCTGATTAAGACTGCTGGCAAGTGCCAATGCTAGGCATTCAACAGTCAGCTGCTGAGAAGAAAGTAACATCTTGATATTGCACCATCTGTTGAGAAACCTGCCAGTCACTTGATATCAAGTCAACCACATTGTTCTCTTTCATCCTGAATGCAGAAGCAGTTTTTCTTAAAATTGGCACTCAATTCAGTAGTCTATCACCATATCATTTTGGGCTTCTTATGCTAGTGAATAAGTAGGCAAAAAAAAAAAAAAGTATTACTCTTTGACTACTTTGACAATGTAATTAATTCTGATTATTATTAGGAGATAGTGTTGCTGAAATAAAATGAGATTAAGGTGGAGTAAATAGGGAAATTGAGCCACTCACTTGGACTTCTATTCTGGTAATAACTCTAAAGGAAGGATTATAAAAACAGGTACTTCGATCTCCCAAATAAGAAGACGTAAATTATCTCAATAGTCGACAATCTAAGCTAACTGAAGAGCTGGAAAAAGGGTGAGGGAACTCTAGGTTAGATGACAGAGAAGGCAGATGACACATACTATTTTGCCTTGGGAGCAAGTACAGCTATGAGGTCTATAGTTTACTTAACTAACATCATTTAATCTATATATCCATCTCCCATCTATCAATCGAGAACCACAAAGTTGAAGAGTCATTGACAGTGTAGATTAAATGTGAGGCACAAATAAATCTAAGGATACAATGAATGGACTAAAGCATACATCTCCCTGTCAATATCACACTGTGTCACAGATCTGTACCCAGCACAGCTGTGGTGAGCATGTCTATGCTCCTTGCCAGCATCTCACTTAAAGAAGGTACCATGACAGAGCCAAGATGGCCGAATAGGAACAGCTCCGGTCTACAGCTCCCAGCGTGAGTGACGCAGAAGACGGGTGATTTCTGCATTTCCATCTGAGGTACCAGGTTCATCTCACTAGGGAGTGCCAGACAGTGGGCGTAGGTCAGTGGGTGCGCGCACCGTGTGCGAGCCGAAGCAGGGCGAGACATTGCCTCACTTGGGAAGCGCAAGGGGTCAGGGAGTTCCCTTTCCGAGTCAAAGAAAGGGGTGACGGACGCACCTGGAAAATCGGGTCACTCCCACCCGAATATTGTGCTTTTTGGACTGGCTTAAAAAACGGTGCACCACGAGATTGTATCCTGCACCTGGCTCGGAGGGTCCTACGCCCACAGAGTCTCGCTGATTGCTAGCACAGCAGTCTGAGATCAAACTGCAAGGCAGCAGCGAGGCTGGGGGAGGAGCGCCCGCCATTGCTCAGGCTTGCTTAGGTAAACAAAGCAGCCAGGAAGCTCGAACTGGGTGGAGCCCACCACAGCTCAGGAGGCCTGCCTGCCTCTGTAGGCTCCACCTCTGGGGGCAGGGCACAGACAAACAAAAAGACAGCAGTAACCTCTGCAGACTTAAATGCCCCTGTCTGACAGCTTTGAAGAGAGCACTGGTTCTCCCAGCACGCAGCTGGAGATCTGAGAAGGGGCAGACTGCCTCCTCAAGTGGGTCCCTGACCCCTGACCCCTGAGCAGCCTAACTGGGAGGCACCCCCCAGCAGGGGCACACTGACACCTCACACGGCAGGGTATTCCAACAGACCTGCAGCTGAGGGTCCTGTCTGTTAGAAGGAAAACTAACAAACAGAAAGGACATCCACACCAAAAACCCATCTGTACATCACCATCATCAAAGACCAAAAGTAGATAAAACCACAAAGATGGGGAAAAAACAGAACAGAAAAACTGGAAACTCTAAAACGCAGAGCGCCTCTCCTCCTCCAAAGGAATGCAGTTCCTCACCAGCAATGAAACAAAGCTGGATGGAGAATGACTTTGATGAGCTGAGAGAAGAAGGCTTCAGACGATCAAATTACTCCGAGCTACAGGAGGACATTCAAACCAAAGGCAAAAAAGTTGAAAACTTTGAAAAAAATTTAGAAGAATGTATAACTAGAATAACCAATACAGAGAAGTGCTTAAAGGAGCTGATGGAGCTGAAAACCAAGGCTCGAGAACTACGTGAAGAATGCAGAAGCCTCAGGAGCCGATGCGATCAACTGGAAGAAAGGGTATCAGCAATGGAAGATGAAAAGAATGAAATGAAGTGAGAAGGCAAGTTTAGAGAAAAAAGAATAAAAAAAAAGGAACAAAGCCTCCAAGAAATATGGGACTATGTGAAAAGACCAAATCTACATCTGATTGGTGTACCTGAAAGTGATGGGGAGAATGGAACCAAGTTGGAAAACACTCTGCAGGATATTATCCAGGAGAATTTCCCCAATCTAGCAAGGCAGGCCAACGTTCAGATTCAGGAAATACAGAGAACGCCACAAAGATACTCCTCGAGAAGAGCAACTCCAAGACACATAATTGTCAGATTCACCAAAGTTGAAATGAAGGAAAAAATGTTAAGGGCAGCCAGAGAGAAAGGTCGGGTTACCCTCAAAGGAAAGCCCATCAGACTAACAGCGGATCTCTCGGCAGAAACCCTACAAGCCAGAAGAGAGTGGGGGCCAATATTCAACATTCTTAAAGAAAAGAATTTTCAACCCAGAATTTCATATCCAGCCAAACTAAGCTTCATAAGTGAAGGAGAAATAAAATCCTTTACAGACAAGCAAATGCTGAGAGATTTTGTCACCACCAGGCCTGCTGTACAAGAGCTCCTGAAGGAAGCACTAAACATGGAAAGGAACAACCGATACAAGCCACTGCAAAATCATGCCAAAATGTAAAGATCATCAAGACTAGGAAGAAGCTGCGTGGACTAACGAGCAAAATAACCAGCCACACCATAATGACAGGATCAAATTCACACATAACAATATTAACTTTAAATGTAAATGGGCTAAATGCTCCAATTAAAAGACACAGACTGGCAAATTGGATAAAGAGTCAAGACCCATCAGTGTGCTGTATTCAGGAAACCCATCTAACGTGCAGAGACACACATAGGCTCAAAATGAAAGGATGGAGGAAGATCTACCAAGCCAATGGAAAACAAAAAAAGGCAGGGGTTGCAATCCTAGTCTCTGATAAAACAGACTTTAAACCAACAAAGATCAAAAGAGACAAAGAAGGCCATTACATAATGGTCAAGGGATCAATTCAACAAGAAGAGCTAACTATCCTAAATATATATGCAACCAATACAGGAGCACCCAGATTCATAAAGCAAGTTCTGAGTGACCTACAAAGAGACTTAGACTCCCACACATTAATAATGGGAGACTTTAACACCCCACTGTCAACATTAGACAGATCAATGATACAGAAAGTCAACAAGGATACCCAGGAATTGAACTCAGCTCTGCACCAAGCAGACCTAATAGACATCTACAGAACTCTCCACCCCAAATCAACAGAATATACATTTTTTTCAGCACCACACCACACCTATTCCAAAATTGACCACATACTTGGAAGTAAAGCTCTCCTCAGCAAATGTAAAAGAACAGAGATTATAACAAACTATCTCTAAGACCACAGTGCAATCAAACTAGAACTCAGGATTAAGAATCTCACTCAAAACCATTCAACTACATGGAAACTGAACAACCTGCTCCTGAATGACTACTGGATACATAACGAAATGAAGGCAGAAATAAAGATGTTCTTTGAAACCAACGAGAACAAAGACACAACATACCAGAATCTCTGGGACGCATTCAAAGCAGTGTGTAGAGGGAAATTTATAGCACTAAGTGCCCACAAGAGAAAGCAGGAAAGATCCAAAATTGACACCCTAACATCACAATTAAAAGAACTAGAAAAGCAAGAGCAAACACATTCAAAAGCTAGCAGAAGGCAAGAAATAACTAAAATCAGAGCAGAACTGAAGGAAATAGAGATACAAAAAACCCTTCAAAAAATTAATGAATCCAGGAGCTGGTTTTTTGAAAGGATCAACAAAATTGATAGACCGCTAGCAAGACTAATAAAGAAAAAAAGAGAGAAGACTCAAATAGACACAATAAAAAATGATAAAGGGGATATCACCACCGATCCCACAGAAATACAAACTACCATCAGAGAATACTACAAACACCTCTACACAAATAAACTAGAAAATCTAGAAGAAATGGATAAATTCCTGGACACATACACTCTCCCAAGACTAAACCAGGAAGAAGTTGAATCTCTGAATAGACCAATAACAGGAGCTGAAATTGTGGCAATAATCAATAGTTTACCAACCAAAAAGAGTCCAGGACCAGATGGATTCACAGCCGAATTCTACCAGAGCTACAAGGAGGAACTGGTACCATTCCTTCTGAAACTATTCCAATCAATAGAAAAAGAGGGAATCCTCCCTAACTCATTTTATGAGGCCAGGATCATTCTGATACCAAAGCCGGGCAGAGACACAACCAAAAAAGAGAATTTTAGACCAATATCCTTGATGAACATTGATGCAAAAATCCTCAATAAAATACTGGCAAAACAAATTCAGCAGCACATCAAAAAGCTTATCCACCATGATCAAGTGGGCTTCATCCCTGGGATGGAAGGCTGGTTCAATATATGAAAATCAATAAATGTAATCCAGCATATAAACAGAGCCAAAGACAAAAACCACATGATTATCTCAATAGATGCAGAAAAAGCCTTTGACAAAATTCAACAACCCTTCATGCTAAAAACTCTCAATAAATTAGGTATTGATGGGACGTATTTCAAAATAATAAGAGCTATCTATGACAAACCCACAGCCAATATCATACTGAATGAGCAAAAACTGGAAGCATTCCCTTTGAAAACTGGCACAAGACAGGGATGCCCTCTCTCACCACTCCTATTCAACATAGTGTTGGAAGTGCTGGCCAGGGCAATTAGGCAGGAGAAGGAAATAAAGGCTATTCAATTAGGAAAAGAGGAAGTCAAATTGTCCCTCTTTGCAGATGACATGATTGTATATCTAGAAAACCCCATCGTCTCAGCCCAAAATCTCCTTAAGCTGATAAGCAACTTCAGCAAAGTCTCAGGATACAAAATCAATGTACAAAAATCATAAGCATTCTTATACACCAATAACAGACAAACAGAGAGCCAAATCATGAGTGAACTCCCATTCACAATTGCTTCAAAGAGAATAAAATACCTAGGAATCCAACTTACAAGGGATGTGAAGGACCTCTTCAAGGAGAACTACAAACCACTGCTCAAGGAAATAAAAGAGGATACAAACAAATGGAAGAACATTCCATGCTCATGGGTAGGAAGAATCAATATCGTGAAAATGGCCATACTGCCCAAGGTAATTTATAGATTCAATGCCATCCCCATCAAGCTACCAATGACTTTCTTCACAGAATTGGAAAAAACTACTTTAAAGTTCATATGGAACCAAAAAAGAGCCCGCATCGCCAAGGCAATCCTAAGCCAAAAGAACAAAGCTGGAGGCATCACGCTACCTGACTTCAAACTATACTACAAGTCTACAGTAACCAAAACAGCATGGTACTGGTACCAAAACAGAGATATAGATCAATGGAACAGAACAGAGCCCTCAGAAATAACGCCGCATATCTACAACTATCTGATCTTTGACAAACCTGAGAAAAACAAGCAATGGGGAAAGGATTCCCTATTTAATAAATGGTGCTGGGAAAACTGGCTAGCCATATGTAGAAAGCTGAAACTGGATCCCTTCCTTACACCTTATACAAAAATCAATTCAAGATGGATTAAAGACTTAAACGTGAGACCTAAAACCATAAAAACCCTAGAAGAAAACCTAAGCATTACCATTCAGGACATAGGCATGGGCAAGGATTTCATGTCCAAAACACCAAAAGCAATGGCAACAAAAGACAAAATTGACAAATGGGATCTAATTAAACTAAAGAGCTTCTGCACAGCAAAAGAAACTACCATCAGAGTGAACAGGCAACCTACAAAATGGGAGAAAATTTTCGCAACCTACTCTTCTGACAAAGGGCTAATATCCAGAATCTACAATGAACTCAAACAAATTTACAAGAAAAAAACAAACAATCCCATCAAAAAGTGGGCGAAGGACATGAACAGACACTTCTCAAAAGAAGACATTTATGCAGCCAAAAAACACATGAAAAAATGCTCATCATCACTGGCTATCAGATAAATGCAAATGAAAACCACAATGAGATACCATCTCACACCAGTTAGAATGGCAATCATTAAAAAGTCAGGAAACAACAGGTGCTGGAGAGGATGTGGAGAAATAGGAACACTTTTACACTGTTGGTGGGACTGTAAACTAGTTCAACCATTGTGGAAGTCAGTGTGGCGATTCCTCAGGGATCTAGAACTAGAAATACCATTTGACCCAGCCATCCCATTACTGGGTATATACCCAAAGGATTATAAATCATGCTGCTATAAAGACACATGCACACGTATGTTTATTGTGCTTTATTCACAATAGCAAAGACTTGGAACCAACCCAAATGTCCAACAATGATAGACTGGATTAAGAAAATGTGGCACATATACACCATGGAATACTATGCAGCCATAAAAAATGATGAGTTCATGTCCTTTGTAGGGACATGGATGAAATTGGAAATCATCATTCCCAGTAAACTATCGCAAGAACAAAAAACCAAACACCGCATATTCTCACTCATAGGTGGGAACTGAACAATGAGATCACATGGACACAGGAAGGGGAATATCACACTCTGGGGACTGTGGTGGGGTGGGGGGAGGGGGGAGGGATAGCATTGGGAGATATACCTAGTGCTAGATGACGAGTTAGTGGGTGCAGCGCACCAGCATGGCACATGTATACATATGTAACTAACCTGCACAATGTGCACATGTACCCTAAAACTTAAAGTATAATAAAAAAAAAATAACATCTACCAACATCTATTTCTTTTAAAGCAGCAAGAAAAAATAGCTATTTCTTTTTTTCTGTAATATAATTTTTATTGAGACTGAATAAAGCATTTGAAACACTGAAAAAAAAAAAAAAAAGAATGTACCATGACAGCCCTCTATCTGTTGCTTTGAGGCTTTCATTGAAACCATATGTATTAATTATCTATTGCTGTATAACAAATTACCCCATAACTTAGTGACTTACAGCAACAAACATTTATTTTTCTCTCCGTTTCTTTGAATCAAAAATCTGAAACAGCTTAGCTGTAGCTTCAGACTCAGAAGTCCCTCATAAGTCTACAGTCGAAGTACTTAGAGCTGTGGTCATCTCAAGGCTTGATTGGGAAATGATCCACTTCCAGTCTGGCTGTGAGTGGGATTCAACTGTGGAATGGTAGCCTTCAGTTTTTCACCGGCTGTTAGCCAGAGGACTCGCTCAGGTGTTTGTTTTGGTCACAGTTTGTTTGTTTTGGTCACATTGGTCTCTCTATAAGGCAGCTCCCATCACACTAGCTCACATTATTCCATCAGAGTGAGCAAATAAGAGATCAAGAGAAGTGAGTAAAATGGAAGGCAGAGTATATTTACAAACTAATCTTGGAAGTAATATCTAGTCACGTTTTTGGCAGATTATTCATCAAGACTAAGTCACTAGGTTTCTCTCCTTGTATTGACTATAAAATAACTATCAAATATTAATAACTTGAAAATACAGTATTAGGATAGGGTTAAGATAGTATTTACAAATAATATTGAAGTACTCATGCACAAAGAAAAATCAGTCCAAACTGTATATATACACGTTTACATAGAGTTGAATGATCAGTCTCCACATCTCAAAATTGCTTGGTAAGCAAAACTAAGTTATAACATGAATAGGGAAGACTCGCAAGCTTTTAATGATGGAATTAACTTTGTCATTATTATATCTTAATTAACCTTCTTGTATACTTAATATTATTCAGACTTGTTATTTTACATAGTTGTTTTTAAACTATCACTTGATTATGTTATCAAACAGAAGTAATTCTAAAAACTTAATAAGTATGTTATTACCTTTGATTTTTAAATCAGTTTTCAATTTGAGTCGTTGTGTCTGCAATAAATGTTGTTATTGCTTATTTTCAACCTCCTCAAAAACCATTATAAATGTAACTGTTGAGGTTATATAGCCTGATAAATAAATGTTGTAACAAACTTAGTGAAAATAAAACATATTATAAGTTTTAATTGGTTTCCTATTTCAGCACGCATGCAAAATATACATGTAACTATTTTATTATCTGAGCCAAAAATTGGGACATATAGTTCAATGTGTTGTCTCAAGAAAAGGAAAGGGAGAATATTATAATCAGTTCTGTACTGGAAAATCTGACACATGTGCTTGCCCTGTGAGTATATACAATTCTCTGAAAAATACTTTTAGAGCATTTTTCTTGAGTTATTTTCTCATATTTACTGTGTCATTTTCTTCCCACTAAAGTTGCAGTAAATTTTACTAAACTCAGTGCATTCCTAGGAATCAAAAAGACAAAGAATATAAATTTAAAAATCAATAGCTATCGTGCTTCCAAGTTATAACCATGCAGAACTTGTCCTGTTTGACAAGTGTTTGAATTTTAAACTGATGAATTGGGTTGCAAGAACACGAGCTCATTAAAATCATCCTTTTCCTGTTTCTATCTCGCACTACCATATAATCAACATTTCATCTTTCTTTTTTTCTCTATTATTTCAGTGCTTTAGAGAAAAGAAGCAAAAGTGTTTGTGTTAATTTCCTTTTTTCACTGTTCCAGCAGAGTAACTCAGGACATGACTCACAGAGCCAACAGCTACAAAAAAAAAAAAAAAAAAAAAAAAAGAGAGAGAGAGCGAGAGAGACTGGCGCAAATAGAAATTACATTTAGTTTTTAAGAAACATTGTAATTAGCAACATAGGGAGCATCTGGGGACACATTTTTTTTCTCCTACTGCCATTGGTTTTTATCTCTCTGCTGCCATTTCCCTGCACTAGAGTCTGTCTGGTATTACTATTGTCTGAATTCTGTACATAATTTCTTTCACACTGTGTTCATATGACTATCATCTTTTTTTTCTTTGAGACAGAGTTTCATTCTTGTTGCATAGGTTGGAATGCAGAGGTGCAATCTTGGATCACTGCAACCTCTACCTCGCAAGTTCAAGCGATTCTCCTGCTCAGTCTCCCGAGTAGCTGGTATAACAGGCGCCCACCACCACACCTGGTTAATTTTTGTATTTACAGTACAGCCGGGGTTTCACCATGTTGGCCAGGCTGGCCTTGAACCCCTGACCTCAGGAGATCCACGCACCTCGGCCTCCCAGACCACCAATAATTTTGATGTTTCAAACACTAAGTGGCTTTGCTTCATATTTTTGAGAGACAGAATCCACCTGTGGCCCTTCACTATTCATATTCTTAAACTTCTCATTTCCCTTCCTCCTGAATCTCTGTAACTAAGGACTGCCCCCTTTTCTCTGAGGTTTTGAAAAGACTGACAATTGATAAAATGACCTCAAAAGATTGTAAGCTAAGCACATTAATTGCCAAGTGGTTAGAAGTTTGCTAAATTTTGAGATTGTGGGGTTGATCAAGAAAGAGACAGGACTGCAAGAAACAAAAACATACCACAAACTTTATTGGGTGGAGCTTTGATAGGGTTCTATGAGAAGGGAAGTCCCTAACAGAAAGAGACATTTCAGAGACAGCAGCAAAAGGCCACTGCTCAGAAGGGGAATGTGCAAGGGACCTGCCTGGGGAGGAGAGGAGAGGAAATTAGAGGGGGTCTTGATGTGCCTAGGTGATATAGCTCAGCATCCAGGTAGGGAGTACCTGGGTCAGAGAGCCCCGAAGTGCAGCAGCAGTTTGGGCTTTTAAACAATATGTTTATAGCCACAAGGTTTGTCTAACCTATGGTTGGCAAATACTGGGTGCAGTTTTATGGGGTATGCAACGTTTGTAGGCTATAAATGGCTAAAAATATGTTTATTCTGACTATCTTTAAAGCAATTATATGTGTAAGAAATTGAGTTTGGTGCTGGTGGTCTTTGGGTTAATATAATCTAAGCTGCCGTGAAGAGGCAAACAAGATGGGGCTCATTTTAGAGTAATACGGAGGCATCGTCTCTGGTCCATTTATATAACAGGGTATTCCTATTAAAATAAAATGTTCAACACAGAATTATTTAGGGGTGGAAGACAAATACAGTATTTGACATATTTATTAATGCAAGAAACAAAAAAGGAGGTAGAGGGTAAAAATGAATTCTGGGTGCTCTGATTATGCAATGAGATTTTAGTAAACTTTATTTGAAGTGTTATGGACAATAAAGGATGAGGTAATTGCAATGGAAGTGGAAAATAAGGAGATTATTGATTAATTCAGGTTACAAAGCCAAGGTTCTCATGCTCTATCTCTCCCTTAAAAATATCTAGAAAGAGATAGTATTTATGTAGCATATTATCTCACCTATCTACTCAGTTCCTAATTATATGTGATCTGTTTTTCATTATATCAGGACTCATAGAACATCTATTGATCATCGATTACCATAACATTATAAAATTTAAAAAAAACCCTCAACTTCAGCAAAAGTACAGCTAAAGAGTACCATTCATTCACTTGGGCTGGGGCTGGGCATGACAAAGAATATGTATTATTATTGGCCACCAAATAATAAATCTTGAGAAGAAGATAGGAAGTTTTTGAGGGAGAATTGCCAGGGTGATAAGTTGACCTGGGTAATTCAGAATTAGTGCATGTCCTAATAATTTCTGTTGTCATGAACAAGATTGCTGTGTAACTAAGAAACTTTCTTTACAGTGGAGGAAAAGCTGGAAATACATATTTATTGGCAGATGACACCAAATATGTCAATACAGAATGGTAAGATGGAAGTTTTTTTTCTAATTATATTGAGTAAGATTTTATTAACATTGTCCCACAGACATCGATTTCTTAAGAATAATATTTTCTATATATGAGCAGTTCATTGTGCTCTGTGGTGCATTAGATCCACACAGGATAATTACAATTTGGGCTATGAGAGGTTAAGAACAAAACCACACCTGTTTGGTAAATGATTATTCTAATTTTGAGATAGAAGCCCAGGCTTAGTATTGGGTCCTAGTAGAGACTGAATGCTTAAATATGTGGTACAAAATGGCCATAAACTTCAGCTGCTCTTTGTGAAATGGATGTTTTCTTACTCAGGAAGCCATAATGCATCCATGGCCAGTAACAAAATATATTCTGGCTAAAGCTGGTTGATAAATCACAAGTAAGTTGCATCAGCAGGTGAATTCTTAGTGAATGTATTCTTGCTGCACTGGCAACTAAACCCTCATCTATGGACACTTGGGAATTCATAATGTACAGGGAATGAACCAGAAAAAAGAATTCAAGACTAATGTACATATTTTCAAAATAGTATACTGATGTGAGCTGAAACACCACTACTTCATGGTGAACCTGATGGACAATAGGTGATATGGTTTGGCTGTGTCCCTACCCAAATCTCAATTTGAACTGTAGTTGCCATAATCCCCATGTGTTGTGGGAAGGACCCGATGTGAGGTGGTTGAATCATGGGGGTGGTTACCTCCATGCTGTTCTCTTGGTAGTGAGGGAGTTCTCACGAGATCTGATGGTTTTCTAAGAGGCTTTTTCTTCGCTTTGCTCTGCACTTCTCCTTGCTGCTGCCATGTGAAGAAGGACATGTTTGCTTTCCCTTCTGCCATGATTGTATGTTTCCAGAGGCCTCCTCAGCACACGGAACTATGAGTCAATTAAATCTCTTTTCTTTGTAAATTACCCAGTCTTGGATATGTCTTTATTAGTAGTGTGAGAACGGTCTAATACAATGGGTAAGGAAAACTTTTCTGGAAAAAAAACAATAATTTTACATAGGATTCACTTTTCCTGGAAGGGGAGAAGGACAGTAATAGGAATCTATATCAATTAACAAGAAGGAGTTAGTTGTTTGTCTGCATTAACAAGGAATTGAAAAAAAAAGAGACGATAGGAAGATCAGTGATGACGTGATTTGGAAATAAGTGGATGGACCTTTTGTAAGAGACCCAGATTTAGAAGATTTTTGTATATCATGAGAATGCTCTCTCTGCATCACATTTCAGTCAAGTGACAGGATGATCTGCCCTTTTTCCCAGGCACCTTAGTTTTGCTCCATGAGCTCGTGAACCTACAGGTATAGCACTAGAAAAACTAGCTCTGGATGTGGTCCACAGTATGGACTTCCCTTCATGACCTTCATGATAGAAGTTGCTGCCACCACTGAAAGCCAATAAACCACCAGCAAAGATATATGTCAGGTTCCTGATATGGCAAACTTTCTATAATATACCAGATATCTGTTAGCATGTTGATTACAGTGGATATTGATTACAAAAGGGTTGACATTCTTCAGAGAGCAACACCATTTGTAGATCACTGAATGCTGTAATCATCATCTTTGTATTCAACATAACCTTGGCTCTGATAAAATAATTTACTTTTCAGCCAAAGGAAGTAAAGCAATGGTCTGATACCTATATGTTTCATTATTGTTTCCATGTGCCATATCATCAGAAGCAGCTGACATTACAGAATGATGGAATGGCCTGTTCTATTATTATCCTATTACAGTGTCGTGGAAATGGTATCTCTGTTACGATACCATCTGAAAGGCAATGCCCTGAAAGATTGTGCGTTCTACCTATGGGATGCAGAACATGCTTTAAATTAGTGACGATGTACAGAATGTTCTTTCTCCCACAGACAGAATACATAGACTGGGAAATATTTCACCTGATGAGCCACTGACAAAATGTTTGCCTCCATCCCAGGACTATAGATGATCTGATGATTTGAGATCTATGTATCAAACAGAGACATGTTTCTACCAAGGAACACAGTAATGGTTTTATTGTACTAGAGATTGAGATGAAGGCTTCTTGGACTCCACATATTACTGGATCGATAAGAAAGAAAGGGAGAGTAATTTTAGTTGCAAGAAAAAATATGAATGATGCCACAAATATGTACAAAGAAAAATACATCTTAGACACTGAATCCTTTCTGTTACCTCCTACTGACCAGTCTGATTTATTATTAGAAATAATCAATTTCTAACTTATTATTAGAAATTAATAAAAATACCAGAGTGGTAAAAAATTTAATGAAAGACATCATTGTAATAATTGCTACATATAAGACCTATCAATGCATGCTAAAACTCAGTGAGTCAATGTTTTTAAAACATTAAGATATTTGCATACTTCTAAAAGTTGTTCTTCTAAACATTGATTAATTTCAAAAAGAAAATTGGTAATTTCACAGTAAAGAAACCTGGCAGACACCACCTCATCCATATGATCAAGGTTAGCATCTCTTCTAATGAGACATATCGATGGCATGTGACTTTCTATGTGACCCACTAAGAAGAGCAGATTACTTACGTGGTATTTTTATGAAAATGCATAATCTCAGTATAATCATGAGAAAATAATAGGCAAGATAAAATCAAGGAATGGTTGAAAATATCCGTGATTTATATTATGCAGAGCTATGTTACTGTTATTTTCACTTTTATTTTTATTTATTTTATTTTTATGAGTACATAGTAGGTGTATATTTTTATGAGGTACATGAGATATTTTGACACAGGTATAAAATACATAATAATCATGTCAGAATAAATGGGGTGTTATCACTTTTTAAGTGTAAATGTGAGAAGGAATGCACATTTCAAAATTGAGGAACGAAAGATGTGTACTCTGATGGTTACTCTACTCAACACCAATTCTAGACACTTCTAATTTGCTTTCTTCTACTATTGAGACTTTTCATAAAAGCAAGCAATACATTTATCAGATTATCCTGAAGGTTGGCTGCAAATGTACCCTTCTGATATTTGGATGTAGAAGGGAGCAGCCAGAGATGACAGCTGGAAGTTCGAAACTTCTTGTAAGCATGATGATAGAAGAACCTATTCTCTCTGAGTTTCTCTGTGAATATCTACTTTCTAAAACCATGGCTGTGAAATAGTGTATGGTGATAGTACTGATGCTTTTCACTCTCACAAGCCTGTTGTATTTTGGGCTATACTTTCTGACTGTGTTGCCCTGGGTTGCATAGCTTCTGGTTGTGTAAATGCACCATTAGAAGGCTTTAGTAAGAACAATTAAGATCACTTGATAATCCCATAGATTAATGCAAAAGTTTAAATACAGAGGACAATAATGCTAAAATGGTGAAGGGATCCAACTAAATCAGTATATAATGTTAAGAGCTTGTATTCCTGTACCTCAGAAAGAAAGTACTAAAAACATGAAGCTAAACAGCTGTTGTGCAGCTCTGAGTTTACCTAAAAATTCTGCAATTTGTTACATATGTGAAATATTTTGGAGCTATACTATCCAGTTATGCAATAAATATGTAGTCTGTCCTAGTTATTGACTACATTAAACTAATAGGATGTATATACATATATCTCTATATATCCTATTTTATATAATTATATAAAATTGGAGAAAGAATGATTTTATTTATTTATTTATTTATCTATTTTTTGAGATGGAGTTTCACTTTTGTTGCCCAGGCTGAAGTGCAATGGCGTGACCTTGGCTCACTGCAACCTCCGCCTCCTGTGTTCAAGTGATTCTCCTGCCTCAGCCTCCCAAGTAGCTGGGATTACAGGTGCCTGCCACCACACCCAGCTATTTTTTTTGTACTTTTAGTAGAGATGGGGTTTCACCATGTTGGCCAGGCTGGTCTCGAACTCCTGATCTTGGGTGATCCACCTGCCTTGGCCTCCCAAAGGAGTGAGATTTATTTTAAGGAGTTAGCTCATGCGATTGTTGGGGCTGGCAAGTCCTAAATCTTCAGGGCAAGCCAGCAGGTTGGAAACTCAGGTAAGAGCTAAAGGTGAAGTCTTCAGTTGAAATTCTGCAAGGGCAAGCCAGGAAAACTGGAATCTCATGGAGCATTTCTGTGTTGCAGTGCTGAACCTGAATTTCTTTCTCCTCAGGAAGCTGATGTCTTTGAGGCCCATCCACATTATAGAAAGTAATCTGCTTTACTCAAAGTCTAGTGATTTAAATGTTAATCCCATTTGAAAAACACGTTCACAGCAACATCCATACTGGTATTTGATGAAACAACAAAGTACCACAGCCTTTCCAAGTTAGCAACTAAAAGTAAGCATCATAATTGTCTGCTAGATGCTGAGTTCCACACTATTGAGTACAAAATTTTGTACTAAATTATATTGGGATTCTAACTCTTTTCATTCTACCTCATAGGCTAAAATTGTTTAAGAGTAAATTATAGATATCTTATATCTCCAGCTAGAATGTGATAGTCCATCCTCGTGTTGTTACCAGAGGCTGGGTAATTTATGAAGAATAGAAGTTTAATTAACTCATGGTTCTGCAGGCTGTATAGAAATTGTGGTGCCAGTATCTGCTTCTGGTGAAGGCCTCAGGGAGCTTACAATCCCATGGAAGATATCACATGGCAGATATCATATGGCAAAAGGGAATAAGAAGGGGCATTCCACACACTTTTAAACAATCAGATATCTCATGAACTAACAGAGTGAGAACACTCTCATTACGACAGTGTTGGCTCTAAGACATTCATAAGGAATCTGCCCCCATGACCCAAACACCTTTGATATAGTTTGGATATTTATTTGTCCCTGCTCAAATACCATGTTGAATTATAATTCTCAGTGCTGCAGGTGGGGTCTTGTGCAAGGTGTTTGGCTCCTGGGGCAGAACCCTCATGGCTTGATGCTATATTCATGATGGAGAGTTCTCACAAGATCTGGTCATTTAAAAAAATGTGTGGCACCTCTGCCCAAGCCCCCACCACCCTCTGTCTTGCTCGCTCTTGTTTTTGCCACATGATGTGCCTGAAACCCCTTTGCCTTCTGCCATGATTGGAAGCTTCCTGAGGCCTTCCCAGAAGCAAACAGATACAACTATGCTTTGTACAACCTGGAGAACCATGAGCCAATTAAAACTCTTTTCTTATAAATTACCCAGTTTCAGATATTGCTTTTTTTTTTTTTTTCCGGGGTCTCGGTCTGTTGCCAGGCTGGAGTGCAGTGGCATGATCTCTGCTCACTGCAACCTCTGCCTCCCGGGTTTGAGTGATTCTCCTGCCTCAGCCTCCCGAGTAACTGGGACTACAGGCACCCACCACCACAGCCAGCTAATTTTTGTATTTTTAGTAGAGACGGGGTTTCACCATGTTGGCCAGGATGGTCTCTATCTCTTCACCTCGTTATCCGCCTGCCTTGGCCTCCCAAAGTGCTGGGATTACAGATGTGAGTCACCGTGTCCAGCCTCTTTATAGCAGTGCAAGAACAGACGAAATCCAACCATGTTTCACCTTTAACACTGAGGAGCACATATCAACATGAGATTTGGAGGGAGCATCCAACCATATTATGGAGTCAGATCTGTATCCTACAACTTGACTAGACAAAATAGAACTTAGATTGTTGCTTTTCATCCACTGATGAAGATAATATGTGAGCCTGTTGGAATATAAAATACAAATACTAGCACTCAAAACTTATCAAGTAAAGCAATCAAAATGAAAATGCTGTCAATTTTATGCTGGGAAAGTCTTATATTAGAGTTTACTGGCAGGCAGTCATCTCCTTCTGTACTGAAAATATTTTGGAATACTATATATATTTTTTCATGTGAGACCCTACATGGTTCTTTCAGAAAAATAAACTCCCACTCTGGCAAACATTGGTGAAAACTGACCATTAATGCTTGAGTAAATTCATTATAAGACTAAAATATTATATGTTCAAATATGAAAAAAGATCAGGATTTTGTTTTATTTTTTGTTTCTTTACAACTCTGGAGTGATGTGAATTCAAGCAATCAAAACAAGTTATTTATGTGATCATAAATGCTAGGGTCTCCATCATTGTGCTTATATTCCACAGCACAAAAAGCCATGAGGGGAATGAATACAATGCTTTCTGATGAGAAGGTGAAACTGTGGCAAGCAGATGGCAAGAGGACAAGAGTCAGTGGAGCTGTGTTCTGCGGTGTGGTTAAAGCAGCCTTGAAACCTAGGCTAAAAACAGAATTAAATGAAAACAGGAGAATATTGAAAACCTTGGAAGACATATAATTTAGTGAGGTTGAAATAATTGTACAGAGGGAGGGTAGAATCATGGGAGCAGTAATGTTAGGAGATTATTCTCACAAAGTGGAAAATTGGGAGTAGAGCAAATTTAGCTGATGTTGGGATGAGGTCACAGAGGGAGTAGCAGAAATTGAATGCCTGGACCCAAGAATAAACGCTTGTCCAACAAACCTGAAGCTCACCTTTAGCAGTGAGGAGCCAAACCTCGAGCTGGAAAAGGACTATAGAGCCAAGTGAAGCTTAGCCCAGCCTACAATAGCAAGGCTTCACCTCCCCTGGATATGTAACAGGGGAGTTATACATACTTATTACACAGAAATATGATGACAATATCTAGGTGACAAAAGAATAGGAAAGAGGGTAATGTATATGTGCAGTGGATTTGGGGCAGGGGAGGTAGGTGCAAGGAGATTCTACAATAGTGTGGGAATGGGTACGAAAAACAACAGGAGGCTGGGAAAATGATGACCAAATACTATATATGGTAAAATATTTGACAAATGGAAGTCTGTGATAACATGGAAGACAAAAATTAAATATAATAAAATTGTGCCATTACAGTAAAAAATTCATGAGGTAATATATTAAAATTTTGAGAGGGTTGCTTTTAGCTGATAAGGAACTATAAGTAAAATGTTTCCAGAAAAAGATTTTCTGGAAAAAGTACTGGGGCAGGATGATAAACAAAATTTAGGGAAAATATAAAGATCTCAGATCTTGGGGATTAGAAAGTAAATTTATATTTTTTAAATTACCAATTAGATTAGTTTTCTAAGACTGCCATAACAAAGTGCCACAAACTAGGTTAACTTAAAACAATAGAAACTTATTGTTTCACTTTTTTTTTTTTTTTTTTTTTTTTTTTCTGAGATGGAGTCTCGCTCTGTCAGCCAGGCTGGAGTGCAGTGTGCAATCTTGGCTTACTGCAAACTCTTGTGTGCTCCATGAACATGAAATGTAGTCTTCTTTACAATAATATTTAGTTCAAATAAAGCTAATAAGCAAGTAAAAGCTTCTACTTCCAAGAAAGAACAAGTGATGCCAATTAAATCTATCCATCTAAAGTTACTGCTAGGTTTATATACAGAAAACAAAACATTATTTTAGTGATAACTAAGATATTTTAAAGATGAATCCCATTATTTTCTCTTATAAATGCAATCTTTCATCTTATAAGCTTTAATTTTTAATATGTGAGGCTTTATTTTAAAAACATGGAAAATTGGCCTGGTGCGGTGGCTCAAGCCTATAATCCCAGAATTTTGAGAGGCCGAGATGGATGATCACTTGAGGTCAGGAATTTGAGACCAGCCTGGCCAACATGGTGAAACCCCGTCTCTACTAAAAATGCAAAAATTAGTCAGCCGTGGTAGCATGCACCTGTAATCCTAGCTGTTCAAGAGTCTGAGGCATGAGAATTGCTTGAACCTGGGAGACTGGGAGGCGGAGGTTGTAGTGAGCCGAGATCGCGGCACTGCACTCCAGCCTGGGCAACAGAGCGAGACTACATCTCAAAAAAAAAAAAAAAAAAAAAAAAAAAAAAAAAAAAAAGAGAGAAATATAACATCAATATAAAAATGCGTATTTCTTAATAAAGAAAGTTGGTCAATAAAGAGGGATATCTTCGAGAAGCACTAAGTTGTTCATAAAATTATAAAACTTACGATCTCATTGTTATCTAGAGTAAAATGTTTTTGCATTTAATCCGTACCTGACAAACTTGAATTGTCACTACATAAAGATCTTTTTAAAATTGTATTACCATAAACATTTAACTCTTTTGTATAAAAAAGCAATGTTAATTGAAGTGAAGGAGATTTATAGGTGAAATTTGTTTTTTTTTTGCAGATAATTTGAAACTTCATCAAAATAGCTTTTAAAAAATTAATTAAAGAAGAGAAATTATACATATGTATGGTGTACAACGTGATGCCTTGATATATGTATACATTGCAGAATGGCTAAATCAACTACATAACATACACACTACTTCACATATTATTTTTGTGGTGAGAACACTCAAAATCTACTCTTACAGCAATTTTCAAGTATATGATATGTTGTTGTTAACTATAGTCACAATAAATCTCTTGAACTTATTTCTCTTAACTGTAATTTGTATGCTTTCATCGACATCTCCCCAGTCCAGGCCTGCGTTCTCCAGCCATAGTGACCACAATTCTACTCTCTGCTTCTATGAGTTCTTGCCTTTTTGAGATTCCACATGTAAGTGAGATAAGTGCCTTTCTGTGACTAGTTTATTTCATTTAACATTGTATCTGTTCCTCAAAGTCTAGTCTTTCCTCATTGAAGGTGAACAATATGATGCCAAAAAGTGTGAGAATTTTGTGGAGTAAACAACTCTGGAAATTAAAAAAAAAAAATTAAATTACACCTGGCCCTTTTCATTTCAACGACATCCAAATTATGAATTGTAGTGTTTTGTCAAAATTTATTATTTATGAAAACATATATTAATTATGGCTCTGATGACATCACTAATAACACACCACATGTTGGTTGTAAAAAATCCCATCACATGTTGGCTGTAGAAAAACCTTAAGTCCCTTATTCTAGGAATGATTCTATTGTCTCACCAGATGAAATAACAGAAAATAACTCAGCTATATTTAACAGTTTCTACGAGGTTGTTTTCTTAAAGGGACTGGGTTTGGTTCCCAAGAAATGATTTTTGCGATGAATAAAAGTAAGAAGAAATCAAAGAAGCATCATAATCAAATAAATATAATAAACTTTACTTTAAGACAGAACAAAGTTGGTCGGGTGCAGTGGCTTAACGCCTATAATCCCATCATTTTGGAAAGCCGAAGCAGACAGATTGCTTTGAGTTCAGGAGTTCGAGACCAGCCTGGGCAATGTGGTGAAACCCCATCTCTACTAAAAATACAAAAATTAGCTGTGCATGGTGGCACACACCTGTCATCTCAGCTACTGAGGAGGCTGAGACTTGAACTTGGGAGGCAGAGTTTGCAGTAAGCCAAGATTGCATACTGCACTTCACTCCTGGCTGACAAAGCAAGACTTCGTCTAAAAAAAAAAGAAAAGAAAGTAGATTTTTGGAAGTTAGAAGATCTGGTCTCTAATTTGTTCTGGATCTATCATTAACTAGCTTGGTAGCTTCAGAAAGTATTCCTCTATAAAATAAATGATTGAAAATATAAAGTCCTTATGTCCTCATCATTTCATAATTACATATATTTTTATTGTTAATGTGAAAAAATCTTAGATTCACAAAGGTAAATCTGGAAATGTGGATTTGCAAAAACTAAAGTACTATTGATAATATGAAATTAAACCAGAAAACTTAATTAAAATTTATTTATTAAAGGAATATTTCATAAAGGGTACCTTTGTGTATTCTTTTCTGATACCTGCTCTTTGTTATCTTTCAAACATGATGGTAATCTGAAGGAAAAATGTAGAAAGATTTTTTTTTTCTTTTTCTTAGGTCTGAATTCAGGCAATGTCAAAGACACTCACTTTTGTCTTCAGTGTCATGTTCAAACTGCATGAAGGAAAGTTCTCTAAAGCTACTTAATTTGATTTTTAAAAAACACAATAGGTTTAATATAATAGCTGCTCAATGGGACTGAGTAGTCAACCAGGGATTCTTGATATTCTTGATAGATGTGTTTGTATGTGCTTGTAAGCTCCTGGGCAGAGAAAGAAGACATCACAGGAATAGGAGTTATGAAAGATTAAAACTATAATAGTAATGCACAACACAATTGTTATGAAATAGATTCAAACAATAAAGGAATCTGTGGTCTACATCCACTTGCCTGCCCAAAGGGAATTTTGTTCTTATAAGATGACATGTACACCACCACATCTTGTTTCACACAGATAAACATTTTATACAGGTACACACAGAACATACATGTACTTATACACATTTTTACATTTATGAGGTCATTAAATACACATGATTGTAACACATGCTTTAAAGCAATGGGGAAAGGATTCCCTATTTAATAAATGGTGCTGGGAAAACTGGCTAGCCATATGTAGAAAGCTGAAACTGGATCCCTTCCTTACACCTTATACAAAAATCAATTCAAGATGGATTAAAGATTTAAACGTTAAACCTAAAACCATAAAAACCCTAGAAGAAAACCTAGGCATTACCATTCAGGACATAGGCGTGGGCAAGGACTTCATGTCCAAAACACCAAAAGCAATGGCAACAAAAGACAAAATTGACAAATGGGATCTAATTAAACTAAAGAGCTTCTGCACAGCAAAAGAAACTACCATCAGAGTGAACAGGCAACCTACAACATGGGAGAAAATTTTCGCAACCTACTCATCTGACAAAGGGCTAATATCCAGAATCTACAATGAACTCAAACAAATTTACAAGAAAAAAACAAACAACCCCATCAAAAAGTGGGCGAAGGACATGAACAGACACTTCTCAAAAGAAGACATTTATGCAGCCAAAAAACACATGAAGAAATGCTCATCATCACTGGCCATCAGAGAAATGCAAATCAAAACCACTATGAGATATCATCTCACACCAGTTAGAATGGCAATCATTAAAAAGTCAGGAAACAACAGGTGCTGGAGAGGATGCGGAGAAATAGGAACACTTTTACACTGTTGGTGGGACTGTAAACTAGTTCAACCATTGTGGAAGTCAGTGTGGCGATTCCTCAGGGATCTAGAACTAGAAATACCATTTGACCCAGCCATCCCATTACTGGGTATATACCCAAATGAGTATAAATCATGCTGCTATAAAGACACATGCACACGTATGTTTATTGCGGCACTATTCACAATAGCAAAGACTTGGAACCAACCCAAATGTCCAACAATGATAGACTGGATTAAGAAAATGTGGCACATATACACCATGGAATACTATGCAGCCATAAAAAATGATGAGTTCATATCCTTTGTAGGGACATGGATGAAATTGGAAACCATCATTCTCAGTAAACTATCGCAAGAACAAAAAACCAAACACCGCATATTCTCACTCATAGGTGGGAATTGAACAATGAGATCACATGGACACAGGAAGGGGAATATCACACTCTGGGGACTGTGGTGGGGTCGGGGGAGGGGGGAGGGATAGCAATGGGAGATATACCTAATGCTAGATGACACATTAGTGGGTGCAGCGCACCAGCATGGCACATGTATACATATGTAACTAACCTGCACAATGTGCACATGTACCCTAAAACTTAGAGTATAATAAAAAAAAAAAAAAAAAAAAAAAAAAAAAAAACCTTTTTTTGAAATTTTGTGGAACATTCTGCTTTGCTGTTTATAACAGTTCCATGCTATTCTATATCATGACATATTATTTGAAGCCTCTCCTATTGATTTATATTTATATTGTTTCTAAATGTTTATAGAAGCAAAAAAAAAAAGAATTTTTTTTAAAAACCTGCATGTTTGTTTAACAAGAAGGTACTTTTATAGGAAGGGTTTCTCAGTATTGTATTTACTATGCATGAACATTTTGAGTTTTAAGGTCAGCTGGTTAATGATGGATTTCCTTGTAGAAATGATATAAATTTCCTGGTTCACCAGCATTTTATCAAATTCCTAGTTTCTCTGTATTTTAAAACTTTTGCAAAAGAGTGAGCAAAACAAAATACTTATTGTTCATATTTGCTTTTGCAAGTAACCTTGAACATTATATAAATAATGTTAATAAATATAACTAAATATTAAAGATATTTGTTATTATATCCATGTAGTTTATAAATCTACATCTAATTTTCCTGTATATAATCATAGCCTTGTTTTTTCTTTTGGATTATGCATTCTGGATACCAGTCTTCTGTTGGTTAGGTGCAAAATCTTCTCCAAATATTTCAGATATATTTCATTTTATTAATAGTATTCATATTTATATAAAAATGTTAATATCTAATGTGTTTTATTTGCATAAATACACTAAATAGAAAATAATTAAATTAATACACCTGATATAACTTCTTTAAAATCTTTTTTTGTAAAAAAAATCCCTCTCCTATATATCTTCATAATAGTAAACAATGTGTTTACATCTTGAAGTTATAGATTGACTTTACTGAACACGGTGAGAAACCATAGCTCACTTACATGATTTTCATTTCATTTCTTTCTTTTTTTCCCAAAGTTAAATTGTTATATCAATGTTTATGTTTTTGTTTACTATAAATACTTAAACCTTTATTATGTTCTTCAATATTTTGATTCTATCTATGTATGGTGATGGTATTAGTATTCTTATTTGCTTAAACTTTTATGGCTCTCCCACTGATAACCGTCCGTCAGTGATGTCTTTATGTTTACATTCTCAAGATTTTACTATTTCAGTATGTTCTGGACTCATTATTGAGATTTCTGAGCTTTGTTTATCAGTTGATTCCAAAGGTGAAAAAAAACAAATTTATTATATTTATTATTAAATCCACATAATATTTGTTTCTCTTGGGCCAAGCAGTTAATCATAAATTGACTTTTGTTATTCAAAGGCAAAGGTAATAGCATCAGGGTCAAAAGATTTTCTTAATCCTTGCATCAATCAATTAATGCCATGTTATATTTTAGTTTACTTTTAGTTTTAGTTCACTTTAGTTTAATTTAAATCTCTAATAATTTAAAAAAAATTTTCCTCAATTTTACTTTTTTCAGCATTCATCTACCTTCTATATTGAGAATTTCCCTTCTCGATACCAATCTGCATCCACAGAATCTTGGTATATTTCAGAGCTATCAAGCAGTGACTTCCCTTCACTACCTCCTAGTTTTCTCCAAGTATTTCTTTCTTGTTTTTCATTTTTTTAAGTACATGATGTCATATCTTTCATAGAAATTATAAACAAAAAACCTTTCAGCCTTGTATGTCTGCAAATGTTTTCTTGTTTCCTGACACTCATTCTGCAATTTGAATGAATACACTTCTGGAGTGAAAATTATTTTTTCTCATCCCTTTGAAGGCCTTTGTTGTTGTACTCAGTATTACTAAAAGGAAATCTGGTGAAAGTGCAACTACTGAAACTTTGAAATAAATTGATTCATTTTTGTTCCTCTTTCATAAAAATTTAGAATCCACTTGTCTTTGGAATGCTATATTTCCCAAGGACGAGTCTAATGTAGTTAATTTATTCTGCTTATTATTGGATGAGTAATTTACATTTGAAATTCTATATATTACTCTAGCGAACTGAATTTTTTTCTCAGAATTTCTCCAGTAATTTTTTTCCTCTTCATTCTCACATATCTTGCTTTCTGGAACTAATTTTACATTCCTGTAACTATAGCGGGGATTTCTCATAACCATTAGCATTTATTTTATAATTTTTATCTATTTCTACTTTTGTGCTAAATTTTGTTGAATATTCACAGACATTATCTTTATGGCAAAAAATAAAAATAAAAAATATCTCTTTTCATTTAGTCTATTGTGCTAGCCAATCCATCTATGAAGGACTTTATTGTTGTAATTAAACTTTCTTCCACTAAATATACTAATTATGGTAGTATAACTCATGTTTATTGTAATGTAACTTGCTTGTTACTACAATTAGTAATAAAAAGGTACCATACATTTATGATTTATCGCAAAAATGTTGTGGTTTATCACAAAACAATTGTCCACTGAAAATCAGTTGAGAGTTCTGCATTTCAGAAAGACAGTGGCTGTTTCCATTACATGGCTCAGTTATTCTTTAGATCCTAGAGACTTTCAATGGGTCCTCTGCATGTGTCTGACAACGACAAAGAAAGGGGTATATGGAGGCCCTCAAAACAGGTTGGAGTCACAGGAGCATGGGAGAAGAAATAAAATTTCTGATTAGGAAAAGTCTTTTTTTTAGATTTCTTTTAACTTTTATTCTAGATACAGGGGCACATGTACAGGTTTGTTACATAGGTAAACTCATGTCATGGGGTTTTGCTGTATAGATTATTTTGTCACACAGGTACTGAGCATAGTACTGAATGGGTATCATGGCACCAATATTTTTCTGATCCTTGCCCTCCTCCAACCCTCCACCCTCTAGTCTGCCTAGTATCTGTTGTTCTGCTTTTTGTATTCATGTGATGTTATCATTTAGCTCCTACTTATAAGTGATAACATGTGGTATTTGGATCTTTCTGTTCCTGCATTAGTTTACTAAGGAACATCCCTGTTGCTAGAAAGGACGTGATCTCACTATTTTAATGGCTGCATACTATTCCATGGTGTATATGTACCATATTTTTTTTATCCAATCTACCATTGATGGGCATTTAGATTGATTCCATATCTTGGCTATTGTGAAAAGTGCTGCATTGAACATACATGTGTATGTATCTTTATGACAGAATGATTTATATTTCTTTGGCTGTATACCCAATAATGGGGATTGTTGGGTCAAACGGTAATTTTGTTTTTAGTTCTTTGAGGGATTGCCACACTGCTTTCCACAATGGCTGAACTAATTTATTAAATATACTCTCACCAACAGTCTATAAATTTTCACTTTTCTCTGCAACCTCACCAATCTGTTGTTTTTTAATTTTATAATAATAGCCATTCTAACTAGTGCCAGATAGTATCTCACTGTGGTTTTGATTTAGATCATTTCTGACATTGAGGATTTTTTCATATACTTCTTGGCCACATGTGTGCCTTCTTCTGAAAAGTGTCTGTTCATTTCTTTTGCCCACTTTTTAATGGGGTTGTTTGTTTTTGCTTGTAAATTTATTTAAGTTCCTGATAGATTTTGGATATTAGACCTTTGTTGAATGCATAGTTTGCAAATATTTTTCCCATTCTGTAGATTGTCGGTTTACCCCGTTGGCAGTATCTTTCGCTGTCCAGAAGCTCTTTAGTTTAATTAGGTCTCACATGTCAATTTTTGCTTTTGTTGAAATTGCTTTTGGTGTCTTCATCATTAAATCTTTGTCAATTTCTATGTCCAAAATGGTATTTCCTAGGTTATCTTCCAGGGTTTTAATAGTTTTAGGTTTCATATTTAAGTCTTTAACCCATATTGAGTTGATTTTGTATATGGTGTAAGGAAGGAGTTCAGTCTCAATCTTCTGCATATGGCTAGTGAGTTATACCAGAACTATTTATTGAATAGTGAGTCCATTCTCCATTGCTTATTTTTGTCAGTTTTGTTGAAGATCAGATGGCTATAGATGTGCAGCATTATTACTGGGCTCTCTTTTCTGTTTCATTGGTCTGTGTGTCTGTTTTTCTATCGGTACATGCTGTTTCGGTTACTCTAGCCGTATAGTAGTTTGAAGTCAGGTAATACAATACCTCCAGTTTTGTTCTTTTTGCTTAGTATCGCCTTGTCTATTTGGTCTCATTTTTAGTTTCATGTGAATTGTAAAATACTTTTTTTCTAGTTATTTGAAGAATGTTATTGGTAGTTTGATAGGAATAGCATTTAATCTATAAATTGATTTGGGTAGTATTGTCGCAGGATGCTTGGGGTGTTGCCTTTCCAGCCAGAAACCTCTGTGGCCCATGGTGCCTTTGCCTGAGTTTTGCTCAGGCCTGCTGGACTCATTCTGTACACTTGACCTGGTAGGTTGTGCTTGGCTCGCACTGCTGAACTGGATTCCATGCCTGCCAAGGGTAAGCAGGAACAGAGCAGTGAGGGGTGTGTGAGCGAGCAAGCACAGGGTTCAGCCACTGTGCACAGCCTTGCATGCTGGCTGCAGCAGGGCAGGCAGCTCCAGGCACCAGCAAGGGCACTGGTGCCCTCTGAGCCTGTAGCTGAAACAGGTGCACTGCAAGCAGCTTCCACAGAGGGCACCAGGGAATGCGGTGGAACACCTGGAAGCTTGAAGATGCCAGAAACTACAGCGCTCCAAAGAGGGTGTCACAGACGTGTCTCCTAGATCTGGGCCACAGCTCTTTTCTCCTCTCTTCTCTCTTTCTTGTCACTCACAATGTGGTGAGCAAGAGGCATTTCAGCTCTGGTTGTGTTACGGATCTTTCAGTGGTGCCATTTTGTAGGTCCCAAGTTCTCGTTCTGTGCCTAGGAAGAATGAGGCATGCAGACAAGTAGAGAGTGAGCAAAGTGAAGAGGTGCTTTATTGAGTGACAGAACAGCTTAGAGGAGATCCACTCTGCAGGCACGTCATGTGCATGAGTGTGCAGATCTCAGCAGAGAGGAGACCCGCAGTGGGTAGCTCCTCTCCACAGGCAGGTCATCACATCGTCTGCTCAGCTCTCAGCAGAAAGGAGACCCAGTGTGGGTAGCTCCTCTCTGTGGGGAAGTCCTGTCATCTGCCTGAGTCTGGCTGAGTCCAGTGGTTTTTATGGGCTTCAAAGGGGAGGAAGTGCATGCTGATTGATCCATGGACAGCCATAGGTGGGCCCAGAGAAAGCACCGTAAGTTCTCACTCACATCTGCAGAACTGGCAGCCTGGCCCCCAGGCCTCAAGCTGTCTCTGGCCTGATGGTGGGATTTCACTGGTGACCCACCACTTTCCACCCAGGAGCCTGTCTCCCTGCTGCTGCCGTTAATGTGCCATCAATGGTGCCCACAGTGCCCAGGCTGTTCATACTGAGGGGTGCCTGGAGGCCAGTGCTGAGCCACCATTAGCCTTCCCTCAGCCTCCCTCAGCCTACTTACCATGCCTATTAGTGCTCAAAATCTGGAGCGGGCCAAGGTGGCAGGGGACTGATGTGTCAGCACTGCCTTGTGTGCACGCACACCTGGCTGGGCTGTGACAGCACCTGTGCTTGGCCACAACTTTGCTCCAAAATCAGAGTAGGCAGCAGGAGCAGAGAGAGGCCAGGCAGCAGGAGCAGGCACTTCCAAGCCTGTGGGGTAGGGGGGTTTCACAGGCCCCCAAGAGTGCAGAGATGCCTGGGTCCACAGCAGCAGCTGCACAGCTGCAGCTGTGTCCAGGAGGGCAGGGTTCCCGCCCCTCTCACTTGAAAGGGGGTGGGGCTTCCTCCTGTTTCTGGCTCCTTCAGACTCTGTGGAGCACACGGTCCCAGCTGCCCCTCCCCAACTGCAGCTGGTGTCATGGCAGCAGCTACTGCAGACAGGTCACCATTGTCATCATTATGACTATTTTAACAATATTGATTATTTCTATCTATGAGCATGGAATATTTCTGCATTTGTTTGTGTCATCATTTTTTTTTTTTTTTTTTGAGACAGAGTTTCACTCTGTTGCCCAGGCTGGAGTGCAGTGGCATGATCTCAGCTCACTGCAACCTCTGCCTCCCGGGTTCAAGCACTTCTTCTGCCTCTGCCTCCTGAGTAGCTGGGATTACAGGCACCTGTCACCACCCCAGCTAATTTTTCTATTGTTAGTAGAGACAGAGTTTCTCCACGTTGGCCAGGCTGGTCTCGAAATCCTGACCTCAGATGATCTCCCTGGCTTGGCCTCCCAAAGTGCTGGAATTACACGTGTGAGCCATCGTACCCAGCCTTCATCATTGATTTATTTGAGCAGTGTTTTTAAATTCTCATTGCAGAGATCTTTCACCTCCCTGGTTAGACATATTTCTAGATATTTTATTCTTTTTTTGTAGCAATTGTAACTAGGATTGTGTTCCTAATTTGGCTCTCAGCTTGAATGTCGTGGTGCATATGAATGCTACTGATTTTTGTACATCAATTTTGTATCCTGAAACTTTGCTGAAGTTGTCTATCAGCTTAAGGAGTTTAGGGGCAGAAACTATGAGGTTTTCTAGATATAGAATAATGTTATCTGCAAATAGGGACAGTTTGACTTCCTCTCTTCCTATTTGGATGCCTTTTATAAATAAATTCTCTCTCTTACCTGATTGCTCTGGGAAGGACTTCTAATCTTATGTTGAATAGGAGTTGTGAGAGAGGGCATCCTTATCTTATTCTGTTTCAAGGGAAAAAATAGGGTGTGCTGCTCTCAGGGAAACAAGAAAAGGTGGTGAGTAAATAATACATCTTCTACTGGAACATTCAGGTGGGCAGAAGAGCCTTCTGTGTCACACTAAAGAATTTGGCATTTTCTTGGAGATAATGAGCCTTTGAAGCACGTTGAGATTTTTAGCCAGCACTATCAGTTGTGTAATTTAGAAACATTCCTCTGATCTGCTCTGTAAATTATAGATTTTATCTGAATAAAGAGAACTCAGGAGAATGTTGTTAACCAGGTGTTTGGGACCGTAAGTATGAATATGAATAAGAAGAGATGTGAGAAGATTGAAAAGATAATTTTAAGACAACGACAGGGTCTGGTGGTGATTGGGGGTTAGTACTGAGAGACAATGAAAAGTCAAATAATACAGACAAGTTTCTAATTTTCCCAATGGGCTGAATTGTGTCAGTATTGACTAAGTAAGGGACTTTGCAAGAGAAATACAATAAGAGGAAGGATTTGCTTACTGTGGAGGACACATGGAAATTCTCATAAGAATTTTGGTTTGTGGTTTTGTAGCTCAAGAGGAACATAGGGCAGAAAAAGACACTTAGAAGGTATTATTTTATTGATCCTAATAATTATAAAGAATAAATGCAAGCCAAAGGGAGCAACTATTTTCTTATATTCACAGCACCTAAATATTGTAGATGTTAAATATGTTTTTAAAAGTTATTTTTGAGATGACAGAAATAATGTTAATGTCAGAAATATTGAATATTTTGAAATACTGATGAAGAGATAAAATATGAAAAGAGATTGTTATTAAAATAAACTAGTTGTTATCTGACAAGGTTAATTACTCAGCGTAAAGAGGGCAGATTGAACCCAATGTATGAGTAAAGAAATTAATCTTTGGCAGCAAAAATGGAGGGTCTTCCATAGTGATGACAGGAGAAGACATATTAGCATAAAGATTAATTTTGATACTTAATACAGTTCCTATCTCATAGATGACTTTTTTTTCTTTTTATTATACTTCCAATTCTAGGGTACATGTGCACAACATGCAGGTTTGTTACATATGTATACATGTGCCATCTTGGTGTGCTGCACCCATTAACTCGTCATTTACATTAGGTACATCTCCTAATGCTATCCCTCCCCTCTCCCCCCACCCCACAACAGGCCCCAGTGTGTGATGTTCCCCTTCTTGTGTCCAAGTGTTCTCATTGTTCAATTCCCACCTATGAGTGAGAACATGTGGTGTTTGGTTTTTTGTCCTTGCGATAGTTTGCTGAGAATGATGGTTTCCAGCTTCATCCATGTCCCTACAAAGGACATGAACTCATCATTTTTTATGGCTGCATAGTATTCCATGGTGTACATGCGCCACATTTTCTTAATCCAGTCTATCATTGTTGGACATTTGGGTTGGTTCCAAGTCTTTGCTATTGTGAATAGTGCCACAATAAACATACGTGTGCATGTGTCTTTATAGCAGCATGATTTATAATCCTTTGGGTATATACCCAGTAATGGGATGGCTGGGTCAAATGGTATTTCTAGTTCTAGATCCTTGAGGAATTGCCACACTGTCTTCCACAATGGCTGAAGTAGTTTACAGTCCCACCAACAGTGTAAAAGTGTTCCTATTTCTCCACATCCTCTCCAGCACCTGTTGTTTCCTCACTTTTTAATGATCACCATTCTGACTGGTGTGAGATGGTATCTCATTGTGGTTTTGATTTGCATTTCTCTGATAGCCAGTGATGATGAGCATTTTTTCACGTGTCTGTTGGCTGCATAAATGTCTTCTTTTGAGAAGTGTCTGTTCCAGATGGATTCACAGCTGAATTCTACCAGAGGTACAAGGAGGAGCTGGTACCATTTCTTCTGAAATTATTCCAATCAATAGAAAAAGAGGGAATCCTCCCTATCTCATTTTATGAGGCCAGCATCATCCTGATACCAAAGCCTGGCAGAGACACAGCAAAAAAAGAGAATTTTAGACCAATATCCCTGATGAACATCGATGCAAAAATCTTCAATAAAATACTGGTAAACTGAATCCAGCAGCACATCAAAAAGCTCATCCACCATGATCAAGTGGGCTTCATCCCTGGTATGCAAAGCTGGTTCAACATACGCAAATCAATGAGCACGATCCAGAATATAAACCGAACCAAAGACAAAAACCACATGATTATCTCAATAGATGCAGAAAAGGCCTTTGACAAAATTCAACAGCCCTTCATGTTAAAAACTCTCAATAAATTAGGTATTGATGGGACGTATCTTGAAATAATAAGAGCTATTTATGAAAAACCCACAGCCAATATCATACTGAACGGGCAAAAACTGGAAGCATTCCCTTTGAAAACTGACAGAAGACAGGGATACCCTCTCTCACCACTCCTATTCAACATAGTGTTGGAAGTTCTGGCAAGGGCAATCAGGCAGGAGAAAGAAATAAAGGGTATTCAATTAGGAAAAGAGGAAGTCAAATTGTCCCTGTTTGCAGATGACATGATTGTATATTTAGAAAACCCCTTCGTCTCAGCCCCAAATCTCCTTAAGCTGATAAGCAACTTCAGCAAAGTCTCAGGATACAAAATCAATGTGCAAAAATCACAAGCATTCTTATACACCAATAACAGACAAACAGAGAGCCAAATCATGAGTGAACTCCCATTCACAATTGCTTCAAAGAGAATAAAATACCTAGGAATCCAACTTACAAGCGTTGTGAAGGACCTCTTCAAGGAGAACTACAAATCACTGCTCAACGAAATAAAAGAGGACACAAACAAATGGAAGAATGTTCCATGCTCATGGATAGGTAGAATCAATATCATGAAAATGGCCATATTGCCCAAGGTAATTAATAGATTCAATGCCATCCCCATCAAGCTATCAATTACTTTCTTCACAGAATTGGAAAAACTTACTTTAAAGTTCATATGGAACCAAAAAAGAGCCCACATTGCCAAGTCAATCCTAAGCCAAAAGAACAAAGCTGGAGGCATCACACTACCTGACTTCAAACTATACTACAAGGCTACAGTAACCAAAACAGTATGGTACTGGTACCAAAACAGAGATATAGACCAATGGAACAGAGCACAGCCCTCAGAAATAATACCACACAGCTACAAACATCTGATCTTTTTTTTTTTTTTTTTTTGTTGAGACGGAGTCTCGCTCTGTCGCCCAGGCCAGACTGCGGACTGCAGTGGCGCAATCTCGGCTCACTGCAAGCTCCGCTTCCCGGGTTCACGCCATTCTCCTGCCTCAGCCTCCCAAGTAGCTGGGACTACAGGCGCCCGCCACTGCGCCCGGCTAATTTTTTGTATTTTTAGTAGAGACGGGGTTTCACCTTGTTCGCCAGGATGGTCTCGATTTCCTGACCTCATGATCCACCCGCCTCGGCCTCCCAAAGTGCTGGGATTACAGGCGTGAGCCACCGCGCCCGGCCCCAAACATCTGATCTTTGACAAACCTGAGAAAAACAAGCAATGGGGAAAGGATTCCCTATTTAATAAATGGTGCTGGGAAAACTGGTAGCCATATGTAGAAAGCTGAAACTGGATCCCTTCCTTACACCTTATACAAAAATTAATTCAAGATGGATTAAAGACTTAAATGTTAGACCTCAAACCATAAAAACCCTAGAAGAAAACCTAGGCAATACCATTCAGGACATAGGCATGGGCAAGGACTTCATGTCTAAAACACCAAAAGTAATGGCAACAAAAGCCAAAATTGACAAATGGGATCTAATTAAACTAAGGAGCTTCTGCACAGCAAAAGAAACTACCATCAGAGTGAAAAGGCAACCTACAGAATGGGATGGATGACATTTTCTCTGTAAAGGTGAATGGGGAGTAGTGGAACAGGGTATCTGACAAGCGTGAGGTTTTAAAACAGCTACTATAGAGATGAAGAGAAGAACTAATTAGGTAAGACATGAACGAGATTCAATACTTATTTGTGAGTACTGCAAAATAGTGTTTTGAAAATCAGAATGTGGCATAAAGGGGAATAGATTCACTTAATGAGAAAATACAAATAAAGCTTCTAACTATGCATCATTTGTGAGATGCCTTAAGGACTAGAAGGGTTTCAATATGGAAAATGCAGGGAAAGGGTAGCATTAGCAAAGACAGGCAGAAGTGTATAGGTAGGCATGTTTCCTACATAACATAAATCTCTCTGTTGCTAGTTTAGGGCTGGAAGAGGAAGGGAAGCTGGTCATTTGTTTGGGGGCTACACCATCTAAATATTTAATTTCCTCCTGAAGGACTTGGATTTTGTTCTCTCAGTGTTGCTGTTTTAAGAAACAAACAAACAAACAAACAAAACATGATCTTTTGGGATTGGGAAGGAATAACCAGGCACACAGCTGAAGATATATTAGAAGTGATTCTGATTCTTTACTTTTTTATTAATAAAAAGAGTTCTTGCTTGAATTTGCTCCTGTGTCTTCGAAAAACTTCTTTCTAACATAACTATGACTGCCAGAAGAACAAAGAAGAAGAAAAAACAAAATGCTATCAATATATTTCCAGAATTTTGGAAGAAATTCTAGTAACGACCTGGTAATTATACAGAGTTAAGTAAAGAAACATGATTGACAGTTCACATGTTCATTGCTGTCCTGAGCAGTGCAAATTTGTAGGTAATTTTTTTCCATTGTCTATGGCCTAAAAATTATATCAGAAACCCCCAGATCTAATCATGACTTTCTATTTTACAGATGTGGCCTCATTGATATAATGGGATTTCTAGTACCCTCTCTTTTCTTTCCTATCAGTTTCTGCTCTCATCCATTGAGGAGCAATAAATGATGGTAAGGAATCAAACCAAAATGAGGAGGATGCAAAGGTATTTAAACATTCCATTTTAAAAGATATGTAATATACAATTTTAAAAATATTTATTTATTTTTTATTTTCATGGGCACATAATAAGTGTATATGTTTATGAGGTAAATCAGATATTTTGAAACAGGCATATAATGCATAATAATCACATCAGGGTAATGGGGAAATCCATCACCTCAAGCATTTATCCCTTCTTTGTGTTACAATCCAATTACACAATTTTAGTTATTTTAAAAATGTACAAGAAATTATTCTTGACTAAAGTCACACTGTGGTGCTATCAAATACTGTATGTTATTCATTCTATCTAATTATATGTTTGTACCCATTAACCATTCCTACTTCCCCACAACCCCTGCACTCCCCTTCCCAGCCTCTGGTAACCATCCTTCTACTCTGTCAACATGAGTTCAATTGCTTTAATTTTTAACTCCCACAAATAAGTGAGAACATGTGAAATTTGCTTTTCTCTCCCTGGCTTATTTCACTTAACATAATGACCTCCAGTTCCATTTATGTTGCAAATAACAGAATCTCATTCTTTTTATGGTTGAATAGCACTCTACTGTGTATATGTACCACATTTTCTTTATTCATTCATCTGTTGATAGACCCAGATTGCTTCTAAATATTGGCTATTGTGAATAGTGCTGTGATAAACATGAGATTGCATATATCTATTTGATATGCTTGTTTCCTTTGAGTATACACTTAGCACGGGTTTTGCTGGATTATATGGTGGTGCTACTTTTTAGCTTTTTGAGTAACCTCCAATCTGTTCTCCATAGTGGCTGTACTAATTTACATACCCATCAACACTGCATGAAGATTTCTCTTTTTTTTTTCTATATCCTCTCTGGCATTTGTTATTATCTGCCTTTTGGATAATATTCTTTTTAACCAGGATGAGATAATATCTCATTGTAGTTTGATTTACATTTATTTAATGATCAGTGATATTAAGCACCTTTTTATATAACCGTTTATCATTTGTATACCTTCTTTTGAGAAATGTCTATTCAGATTTTTTGCCCATTTTAAAATCATATTATAAATGTTTTCCTAATGAGTTTGAGCTCCTTATTTCAGGCTACTAGTCCCTTGTCAGATGGATAGTATGAAAATATTTTCTCCCATTTTGTGTCTTCTTTTTAACTTTTTTGATTGTTTTCTTTGCTGTGCAGAAGCTTTTTAACTTGATGTGATCCCATTTGTCCATTTTTGCTTCAGTTGCCTCAGCTTGTGGGGTCTTAATCAAGAAATTTTTGCCCAGTCCAATGTCCTGGAGATTTTCCCCAGTTTTCCTGTAGTAGTTTCATTGTTTGAGGTCTCAGATTTAAGTATTTAATTCATCTTGATTTGACTTGAGTATATAGCAAAAAATGGGGGTCTAGTTTCATCCGTTTGCATATGAATATCTAGTTTTCCCAGCACCACTTATTGAAGAGGCTGTCTTTTCCCCAGTGTATGTTCTTGGCACCTGTATCAAAAATGAGTTCATTATAGGCTTTCTGGGTTCTCTATTCTGTTACATTGGTCTATGTGTCTGTTTATGCCAGTACCACACCATTTTGGTTACTATAGTGCTGTAGTATAACTTGAAGTCAGGTAATGTGATTCCTCCAGTTTTGTTATTTTTTTCTCATTCTAACTTTGGCTACTCTGAGTCTTTTGTGATTCCATGTAAATTTTAAGATTATTTTGTTTATTTCTGTGAAGGATGTCTTTGGTATTTTGATAGGGAATGCATTGAATTTGTAGATTGCTTTGGGCAGTATGAAAATTTTAACTATATTAATTTTTCTAATCCATGAACATGAAATATGCTTCCTGTTTTTGGTCCTCTTCAATGTCTTGCATCAATATTTATGGCTTTCATTGTAGAGATCTTTCACTTCCTTGTTTAATTTTATTCCTTGGTATTTTATTTTATTTTATTTGTACCTATTATAAACAGGATGAATTTCTTGATTTCTTCTTCAGATTGTTTAGTGTCGACACATAGAAATGCTACTGATTTTCGTGTGTTGACTTTGTATCTTGCAACTTACTAAATTTGATTATCAATTCTAATAGTTTCTCGGTGGAATCTTTAGGTTTTCCCAAATATAAGATTATATCATCTGCAAACAAGGATAATTTGACATCTTCTTTTCTAATTGGATGTCCTTTATTTCTTTCTCTTCTCTGATTGCTCTAGCTAGGACTTACTTAACCATTGTTAGGTGGAATAACAATGGTGAAAGTGGGCTTCCTTGTCTTGTCCCAGATCTTAGAGGAAGGGATTTTAGTTTTTCCCCATTCAGTATGATACTAGCTATGGGTCTGTCATATATGGCTTTTATTGTATTAAGGTATGTTCCTTCTATCCACAGTTTATCATAAAGAGATTTTGAATTTTATCAAGTGCTTTTTCAGCATTGATTGAAATGATCATATGATTTTTCCTTTATTCTGTAGATATATGATGTATCATATTGATTGATTTGCATATGTTGAATGGTTTGCATATATTACGTATCCTTCCATCCATGGGATAAATCCAACTTAGTCATGATGAATGATCTCTTTAATGTGTTGTTGAATTTGATTTGTAAGTGTTTTGTTGAGCATTTTTGCATCAATGTTCATCAGGGATATTAGCCTGTAGTTTAACTTTTCTGATGTGTCTTTGTCTGGTATCACAGTAATACTGACCTCATAGAATGAGTTTGGAAGTATTCCCTCCTCCTCTTTTTATTGGAATACTTTGAGTAGGACTGGTATTAGTTCCTGTTTAAATGTTGCGTAGAATTGAGCAGTGAAGCCATCAGGTCCTGGGCTTTTCTTTGCTGGGAGACTTTTTATTAGAACTTCGATTTCTTGTTCTAGATCCCTGAGGAATTGCCACACTGACTTCCACAGTGGTTGAACTAGTTTACAGTCCCACCAACAGTGTAAAAGTGTTCCTATTTCTCCACATCCTCTCCAGCACCTGTTGTTTCCTGACTTTGTAATGATTGCCATTCTAACTGGTGTGAGATGGTATCTCATTGTGGTTTTGATTTGCATTTCTCTGATGGCCAGTGATGGTGAGCATTTTTTCATGTGTTTTTTGGCTGCATAAATGTCTTCTTTTGAGAAGTGTCTGTTCATGCCCTTCGCCCACTTTTTGATGGGGTTGTTTGTTTTTTTCTTGTAAATTTGTTTGAGTTCATTGTAGATTCTGGATATTAGCCCTTTGTCAGATGAGTAGGTTGTGAAAATTTTGTGGGGTAGGGGGAGGGGGGAGGGATAGCATTAGGAGATATACCTAATGCTAAATGACGAGTTAATGGGTGCAGCACACCAGCATGGCACATGTATACATATGTAACTAACCTGCACGTTGTACACATGTACCTTAAAACTTAAAGTATAATAATAATAAAAAAAAAGAACTTCAATTTCTTTAATTGGTATTGTTCTATTCTGATTTGGGATTTCTTCATGCTTCAATCCTGGTGGGTTTCATATGTCTAGGAATGTATCCATTTCTTCCAGATTTTCCAGTTTATTGATATATAATTGCTCATGGTAGTCACTAATGATCCTTCGGATTTCTATGCTATTGATTGTGATGTTTCCCTTTTCATTTCTGATTTTATTTATTTGGATCTTCTCTCTATATTAAAAAATTAGGTCTGGCTAAAAGTTTGTAGATTTTGTTTATCTTTTCAAAAAACCAGCTGTTCCTTTCATTGCTCTTTTTGTGTGTTTTCTTCAATTTTATTTATTTATTGTCTGATTTCTATTATTTATTATCTTTGACTTTGTTTGGTTTGCTCTTGCTTTTTTAGTTCTTTAAGATTCACATTAGGTTATTTCAAGTTTTTCTACCTTTTCATGTAGGTGTTTATTGTTATAAGTTTTGCTCTTTGTATTGCATTCTCTATATCCCATAGGCTTTAATATGTTTTGTTTTCATTATCATATGTCTCAAGAATATTTTATATTATCTTCCTAATTTCTTCATTGACTCACTGGTCACTCAGGAGCATATGGTTTAATTTTTATGTGTTTGTATAATTTCCAAAATTCCTCTTCTTATTAATTTCTAGTTTTATTCTATTGTGGTCAGAAAAGATAATTGATATAATTTCATTGTTTTTTAATTTTTTAAGACTTGTTTTGTGGTTTACCATATGGTTTGTTTTTGAGAATGATTCGTGTGCTGAGAAAATGATTGTGCATTTTGCAGCCATTGGATGAAATGTCCTGTAAATATTAATTAGGTCCATTTAGTCTCTAGTGCAGATAAACTCAAGTTTCCTTGTTGATTTTCCATCTGGGAGAGCTGTCCAATGCTGAAGGTGTGATATTGAAGTCTCTACCTCTTATTGTATTGGGGTTTATCTCTCTCTTTAACTCGAATAATATTTGCTTTATATATCCCGGAGCTCCAGTTTTGGGTGCATATATATTTAAAATTATTGTATTATCTTGCTGAATTGACCCTTTTACCATTATATAACAACATTTGTTTATTTTTATAGTTTTTGTCTTAAAATCTATTTTGTCTGACATAAGCATAGCTACTCTTGCTCTTTTTTCCTTTGCATTCGAATGGAATATCTTTTTCCTTCCCTTCATTTGCAGTCTATGGGTTTCTTTAGCAGTGAGATATGCTGCTTACAGGCAATAGATTGTTGGGTCTTTTTAAAAAATTCCTTTAGCCACTCTATGTCTTTTGATTAGACAGTTTGGTCAACTGACATTCAATATTATTATTGATAAGTATGGATTTACTCCTGCCATTTTGTTATCTGTTTTCTGGTTGTTTTGTCATGTGCTCTCTCTACTTTCTTTCCTTCTTGTTTTCCTTTTAGTCAAAGCAATTTTCGTAGTGTTATGTTTTAATTTTCTGGGTGTTTGTGATAGGATTTTTCGAGTTGAGTTTACCCTGAGGCTTGCAAATGATATCTCATTATTTTAAATTGATGACAAGTTTACATTGTTTGCGTATACCAACAAACTAACACACGAACAGAGAAAACTAATAAAAACTCTACACTTTAACTACTTGCCTCTCTTTTTTACTTTTTGTTGTTTCTATTTATATCTTACTGCATTGACTATGTATTGAAAAGTTGTTGTAGTTACTATTTTTGATAGGTTCATCTTTTAGTCTTTCTACTCATGTATTAGTACTTTACACACGACAATTACAGTGTTATAATATGTGTTTTTCTATGTGCCTACTATTACCAGTTTGTTTTATTCTTTCAGAGGATGTTTTTTTATTGCTCATTAATGTTCCTTTCTTTGAGACTGAAGAACTCCTTTTAAGATTTTCTGTAGGACAGTTCTGGTATTGATGAAATCTCTCAGATCTTGTTTGTCTGGAAAAGTCTTTATTTGTCCTTCATGTTTGAAGGACATTTTTTGCTGGATATCCTATTCTATGATACAAGTTTTTTTTTTTTTTTTTCCTTCAACTCTTGAAATATGTCATGCCACTGTCTTCTTGCCTGTAAGGTTTCCACTGAAAAGTCTGCTGCCAGACATATTGGAGCTCCTTTGTATGTTATTTGGCTCTTTTTCCTTGTTTCTTTTAGGATCTTTTCTTTATCCTTGACCTTTGGGAGTTTGATTATTAAATGTGTTTGAGGTAGGAGGAGTCTCTCTCTGTGCTTAGCTGGCTGAAGCTGAGGGAGCGGTGACACAAGCACTCCTGTGACCGCCACCACTGGTACTGTGCTGGGTCATACCTGAAGGCAGCACAGCACTGGATCTCACCCAAGACCCATGGTGTCCACTACCTGGCTACTTCTTATGTTCACTCAAGGCCCAACGCTCTATAATCAGTAGGTGGCAAATACAACCATGCCTGTGTCATTCCCTCCAGCGTGAGTTCCCCCTAGCCCTGGGTGCATTCAGAGATGCTATCTGGGAGCAGGGCCTTGAGTTATGAATCTTAGGTTTCTCCCTGGTGCTCTGTTCTACTGTGGCTAAGCTGGAACCCAAGCCACAAGACAAAGTCCTTTGACTCTAAGCCCAGCACAGCACCAGGTCTTGCTTAGAAATTGCAGTCCTGTAGCATAGATTGCCCTTCAAGTTTATTTAGAGCCCCAAAGCACTTTTGTCTGTGGTAGCAGGGCTTGCTGGAACTCAGGTTCTGACTGCTCGGATGGACAATTTGCCTCTTGCCAGGATCGTCAACATGATCCCACCAAAATGACCCCATGACTGAGTTCTGCCCTGTGTTGCTTTCCGCTGTCACAGGGCAACACTAAGTTCCAATGCTAAGTCCCTCAATCACTGTGCTCTCCCTCCATCAAGTGCACAGATTATGTCTCCATGCCATGTGGCCACTAAGAGGGGATGGGAGAGAAGTGGTGTGGGTAACTCAAGACTGTCTTTCCTACCTCTTCAGTGTCTCTTTTTTTAATATGATGTTAAAACCAGGTACTGTGATTGTTCACCTTATTTTTCGTTCTTAGGAAGTGCATTTCGGCATGGATAGTTGTTCAATTTGGTGTGACTCCAGTGGGTGACCATCACTGGAGAGCTCATTTCAGCCATCTTGCTCCATCTCCTCCTCTCAAACTTAGAATATATCATTTTAAAGATGTAGATAAAATTAGAGGAAACAAGGAAAATGTAGTGGTGACAATTATTAGGAATATGGGATTTTTATGTTCTTTGTTAATATAGTAGGTATAGAATGAGTTTCCACCAGGTCAGACCAGAAAAGCTAAATTGGATTAATTCCTATGGGAATCAGGGAATTCAGATGAGAGCTGACTGCACCCAGTTGCATGTAGTTGACTTCTGAATGAAACGTTAACAGAAGTAAGCCCACTTCAATATGTCTAGTAGAAAATATTAGGCTTGGATACCTCTTCTCATTTGTTACTAAATAAAATGGGAGATGCATGGGTTCCCAGAAAATGTACCTTGAAAGAATAAAATGAAATAAAAGTTCGTAATTCAGAAGTTAAACATAACTGGAAATTATTGTGACAGAAACTCAAATGCAGTTTTAGAAAACAAATTGACATCAATACTGTAAATTGCTTCTGTAAAATGTGAAAAGGGAAATCTGCAAGGCATAAGCAAGATGACATGAACAAAGTAATACTAAACAAAACAGAAGAGGAAATAAATAAGAAACTGGATATTAGAATGGATATCAATGAGAAAAATTCTAATAGTACATTTAAATCTACTGTAGAGTATGAAAAAAACTGTATAAAATGTAGAGGGAAATTTTTTTAAAAGAGCCAGAGAGGATTAGAGTGAAAATATCCTGGAGAACAAAAATCATCCCTAAAAATAGCTAATTTATATAGGTAAATATGGGAGTCTACCCAATTACATTTTACACATTATCAATTTCATTGCAATTTATGGTATTTATCATAATCTTTAGTGAGAGTCCTATATCTGGGATAATTAAAATACTTTAACTAAAAGTTTTTACCATTTTTTCACTTATATTTCATTTACAAATTTAATAAAATTCCCATATTATATTAACTTCGATATTTAAATAAAATTTAAAAATTGAGAAAAAATAGCAAGCAAATAATGTATGGACCTGGTAACTGGAAGCAACTTAAAGCCTCTATGAAACTATTTTGCAATGCAAATTCCTAAGTACTTTATTGAGATATTTACAAAACCATTCTTACTATAACTTTTAAACACTCTGCAGAAATATATTGAGTAAAAATACCAGGTTTAGGCCAGTGATTATTCACTACTTGGCACACTTGTGTGTAAGGGAAAAATTATTGAGTGTATTAAAAACATGAATTTCTTAGACCTCTGAGACATATAGAATTAGAAATTCCATAGTATTGGCCTTGAAATATATGTATTTAACAATTTAGGTTATTCTTATTTAAGTAAATTACATTAAAAATGTTTTGAATTTATCCTCGAAGAACTATAGATTATTGATATGAGGTGTAACTCTTAGGGTTGCTGCAAATTTTAAATAAAATAAAAGATATTGTCAATACACACAAATTAGAATTAAGAAAAAAGGTCACTTACAATTAAATAAATACAAATTTAAAACAAGAGGGTACCCTGTCTTATCTATTGGTTTGGCTACTTTTAAAAATAGTAATATTGAGAATATTATGTTCGAAGATTTTATTCTAAGAAGTTTTAAGAAAAAAACCAGAAATCAGTCTAAATAGCTGTTGGAATTGAATACAAATAATTACTTTGCAATACATGCAAAAATCGAATATTATGTATTCATTAAGGTGATGATATGGATACTTACTAATTGAAGTCGCAATGCAAAATTAAAAACACATTGCCAAAGACCGTATATAATAGAATCTGATTTTTTATACACACTCAAGAGAAATATTTTTGTTGAGAAACTGTGTAGGAGAAAATCAACTGTAAGGTCAATGGTAGTTTTCCCTGACTAGTGGAGTTTTATTCTTTTTATCTTGCTTAAAGACAAGTAATTTCCCTATGTTGTGTGTATACACACAGACACACACACACACACACACACACACACACAGCATAAAAAAGACAAAAATATTGTTAACAACAAAAATAATTATAATTACTACTTAGTACATTCTTGCAACTGTTCTAAGTGCCATGCATATATTCTTCAAGTAGCTCTTTATCATAATGCTATGCAGTGTCTTTGTTAACCTTATTAATCAGGAATCCAGTCAGATCAAGTGACTTGCCCAGATTTACAAAGCTGGTAACTATGTTTTGTTTATTATAAAATAAATTTTCATAAGCAGATAAATAAATGAGAAAAAATGTGATATGTATGTATGTGTGTATACATATGTATATATACATATATATATATACACACACACACAATTGACTATTACTCCAACTTAAAGAAGGAAATCATGCAATATGAAACAACATGGATGAATCTGAAGGAAATTAGGCTAAGTGAAATAAATTAGTCACAGAACAGCATGATTCCACTTATATGAGGTATCTAAAACAGTTATACTCAGTGAAGCAAAGAGCAGAATGACAATGATTGCTGGGGCAGGGGGATTGGGAAATGGGGAGCTGCTTATCAGTGGGTATAAAGTTTCAGTAATGCAGGATGAACCGGTTCTAGATTTTCTATACAGCAGTGTGCCTGTTGTAACCCTATTGTATTGTACAGTTATGAATCTGCTAAGAAGTTAGATCTCATGTTAGGTATTCTTATCAAAATATATTTTTAAAAAGCTATCAAGCCAGGTAGAAGAGGAAGAACTTTAGATTTATATTACTAACTAAATGAAGGCAATCTGAAAAGACTACATGTCATATGATTCCAACTATATGACATTCTGGAAAATGCAAAGCCATAGAGATGGTAAACAGCCAGTGGTTTCCATGGCTTCAGAGTGAAGGAAGGGGAGTGGAGGCATGGATAGGTGAGAGCAGGGGACATTTAGGGCAGTGGAACTATAGCATAAGAATACGATGCAGTTAGGGTGGATACATGATACTATGCATTGGTCCAAACCTGCGAAACTGAACAATGCAAATTGTGAACCCTAATATATACTATAAATTGTATATAAACTACAAACTTTAGATAATAATAATATACCAATATTGGGTCATGATCCGTAAGAAATATACCACATAAATGGAAAATGTTAATAATAGGGGGAATTGTGTGTGGATGGTGGGGAGAAAGATTGCTGTTGGGGAGGGGAATATATGGGAACTCTTTGAACTTTCTCTTCAATTTTTTATAAAGCAAAAACTGCTCTAAAAATAAAGTATATTAATACAAAATAAAAGGCCATTTTTAATATTTAAACATAGGTATTTATTTTATTATTCACATTTGTTAAGAAACTTTGAAAAACTCTTATGCCTAGAGACAAGATTGCTCATAAATTTCTTTCAGTTTTTCTCCTTTTGCATTAAGTGGAATTATTAAAATAGAGAGAAAACAGCATAGGCTAAGCATTCCTCATCTAAAGCTATTATCCTTTGTGCAGTTTATTATCATAATGCCAAGAGAAAATAAATAACATTCAAAACATCATCAATAAGCATCTCGAGCAAAAGAGGATTTTGTATATGAGATCTAAAATAAATCCCTTACATGCCTCGGTGACCCTGGTTTTTAATGCAAAACATATAATTATTTGGCATTCATGTAAAATTGAGCACAATTCGGCATTTGTTAAAATTAAAGAGTTATCTTGCTGAAACAATTTTTATTTGCTAGAATTTACTATCTTCATCTCTATAAAGTGTAGATTGTATATTTCTGGTGTCCTCCTCACCTTTACACTCTATTGTTCTATGATCATAGAGTTTTACTTGTTAATGAGGAACTGTGACTTTTTGTGCTGAGACAATTCATGCAAATGAATTCTTAAGAATCAGAGGCCCTGTTTTCATGCAAATAAACCAAGTGATGAACAAGAAAGAAGAGAAATGAAGAAAATTATAAGCAATATTAATTTGCCATCTGTATAACACTTTCTCTGCACTCTTGAGTCTTTCTGTAAATATGAAAATAAAGTTTGAAGGAATCAGCAAAGAGTCATCAACTTGACAAGCTATTATCATTGCCCAAATATGAATTTCAGGGCTTATATGTGTATTTTTGAAAAGCCTGAGATGATATGGCAAATGGATAATTTCATCAGACCAAGTTTTTTTTTATATGAAAGAAGATTTGAGGTATTTAATGTAGGAAATATTTATTCTGAAAACTCAACAATTAGCAACAGCTGGGTTTGTTCCTTGTTTAGAAGATCACTGGAGAAGTACAGACCTTGAGGGTATTCAAAAATTTTTTACTTTTTTATTTCATAGAAGCAAGTTATAAATTATAAGGAATTAGTTCATTTTAAGAATAAATATACAAAAATCTAACTTTCAAAACTATTTTTATTTTCAACTCAGTTCATCTTTAACACCGATACATGTAATCATATAATTTGTTATAGAGGACAAAGGCCAATATAGCATTATAATTAATTTAAGAAATTTAAACATGCAATATACTTTAAAATTTTTATCTACCCCATATTTCTTAACAATAATTTATTGTTTTAATTATCAAAAAGTTAATTCTGAACTCATTAATAATTTTCCTTTTAAATCAGATTTAAATTAATTCTAATTATTTATTGAATATACTTATGAATATTTTACCAATAATACATTTATTGATATTTTAGTTATGGATTACTTCAAACAGTTAATTTAAGATAAAAACTATAATAGTTAAAGTATTATTTTTGGAACACTATGAGGAAAGGTATAGTTATTCTAAGTGTTTTATATTAAGATTTTTGTTTCATTAACTTAAACATATTGTCAAAATGAGGTACAAATCAAGTGAACCAATTTCACAAGATATTGATTAATGAAACACAATGCCTGCTTATTCACTTTAAGCAGGCAATTCTGCTCTGTTCACTGGAGTAGATCATAAGAAATTAACCCAGTTTCTTGGATAGTGAGTAGACTATGTCTACTCAAAGAAAAAAAGATGGTAGATCTTATTGTTACCTGGAAAGTATCGAATTGGACCAAAGGGAGTTTGATGTTCTTTAAGAAATATTTCTATCATGCTGTAGTAAGGAGACAAAATGCCCTTTTCTCCTCTAGAGAATCAGATTATTTCTTTTTTGAATGATGATAAGAAAACCTAGGCAATTTCTCACTACATAGATCTGTTCATAATATTCATTTAAGGCAACAAAAGTTCTTACTATTAGAAAAAAAGTCTACTGTTGCAACTTAACAATGATTTAAATTATATCTAGTTTTATTTGGTTCATGAAATGGTATCTTTCTGAAGTCATTTTAGGATAGAATTTAGGAAACATGGTGATTTGGGGTAAATATTTTAGTTTCACAAGTTATGGTTAACATATTATGTCCTTATGTACATTTCCTAATAAATTTTCTAGAAATGAGTAATGGTAATTTTTTTTTCACTGTTATATTCATTTACAAAAGTATCATTTTCTGTTCTTATTCATGAAATGGACAGCATTTCTCTTTGTGGCCCTGTTGCCTTTTTTTTTCAAGAAAACGCAGATATTGCCCACTCCTGGTGATTTTCCTTGCCTCAGACATGCACTTGTGGTTTATGTCACTCATTTGGCCCTAGTTCATATCATTAGTTATTTTTTGAAGTTTGATTTCATTGAATCAACAAGGTATTTTTAACTATTTGATGTCAGGGCTCATGCTGACAATGAATTCAGAAATGGGAGAATGTCATGGATAAGAATAATAAAGAACAATTTTACAGATAAATCTGTATTTAAACTGGATCTTGGGAGATTCATCTACGTAGAGAGGAGGAAAGATGTTTACATGCATGTTGGAACTAATGCAATAAAGGCTCATAAATAGTGATAAGGTTTTAGGGATGTCACTGCTGTTTAAATAGTGTATGAGCAGATGTGGGTTTAAACTAAAGTGATGTTATTGATCACTTTAGTTTACAGCTAATAAAAATATTTAAAATTTAAGTTAGAGGCAGAATCTGTAAAAGAAATTCTTAAATGTAGAAATATTTGAGCCAATCCACATCTATGTTATAGTTAAACTCTAAGAGTCTATATTCCAGGATTTTGCCAACTCTTTGAATAGCAGAGGTATTGCCAAAATGAAGTACAGATTAAGTGAATCAAATTTAAAGGAGACTGATGGATAAAAATCTCTGCTTATTAATCTAATGATAAGTCATTAGATCTAAGCAATATAGTATTATCCTAGTGGATTTGGGTATGTCTACCCAGGAAAACAATTGATAGCTTTATATTAGTTTTAATAGTAAATGTGACTTATACCATGTACTTCTTCACTTTAAATTGGAAGATAGAAATTCAATTTTGGATTAGTTTTAATGCACAAATGTAATAGATCCTAGGATGTTTAAATACATTTAAAATATCTTGCACATGAGGGAGGGAGATTGGGAACATGAGAATCATAGTAGTTCTCGCCAAGGTATATTTCCCTAGGGAAAATTATTTAATTCCTGCCTTTTTAACTTTAAAATTGGCTGAGCATTAAACCTTTTAAAAGTAAGGTTATTATTTTTTGAAAGATGGCCTCATACTATGAAACAGAGTTTAGACCAAGAAATACTGTAAGCCCTTTAATTTATGTGTTACTAAAGCACACACATAGTAATGAGTGTCATCATTGAAAGTTACCAGTACTCAGAAGTGGAAAATATGAAAATGCATTGCTGAGGATTTTACTGGCAAAGAAAGGCACTTAGGTAGCACACACTTCAAAAGTGTTCTTACCTAAGTGTGTCATTTCTGGTTGAATTTTTAAATTAAAAATTCAGAATTTTTCATTTTTTTTCTATCATCTATTGAAATATTGAGCAACTTGTTTTAGAAGCTTGATTATATAAAGGTTACTTATGGAAAAACTTTTGGACTATCCCTCTCTAGAAATAGGATGATATATGTGTATGTGCATGTGTGTGTACATGTGCATGCACAAACGTGTGTGCATTTTCTGAATATTCTTGAGGGATGTTTATCATTCCAATATATAGATTAGACTTTTTATTTTTTTTTTTTGAGACCGAGTCTTGCTCTATTGCCCAGGCTGGAGTACTGTGACGTGATCTTGGCTCACAGCAACCTCCAACTCCCGGGATTAAGCAGTTCTCTGCCTCAGCCTCCCTAGTAGCTGGGATTACAGGCGCCCACCACCAAGCCTGGCTAGTTTTTGTATTTTTAGTAGAAATGGGGTTGCACCATGTTGGCCAGATTGGTCTTGAACTGCTGACCTTGTGATCCACCCGCCTTGGCCTCCCAAAACTTAAACTTTTAAAGCATACCACTCTAACAATATGCAGTGGCTGTATTCTAGGTATTAGCTAGGGCATATAATTTTGATCTTAAATTCCATTCGGTACCTTCTATATTCAGCTAGAAAGGAACAGTTTCTGGTGTTAATCATATCAGGACCCTGCTTCATGGGGACCTTGCAGAAATATCAGTTAAGAAAAAGACACTTTCCCAGTAGAGGATGAAGAGATTTTATCGACCATTGCTTTCCAAAAGCATTTTACAAGACAAACACCAAAGTGCCTTAACCTTTCCTGAAAACATACAGTTTAATGAATACATATGGTGTGAAAGACAACACTACTCCCAGCACTACTCCAAAACATTGCTTAATCATCTTCAGTTTTATCTCTTTCACAATTTTATAGCTACCCAAATTGGTATGATTAGATAGCATAATAGAAGTGGTGTGTGCAAGGAAGGGAGGAGTGTATGTTTATTAGTTTGTTTTCATACTGCTACAAATAACTGCTCGATGCTGGGTAATTTATAAAGGAGAGAGGTTTAGTTGACTCACAATTCAGCATGGCTGGGGAGGCCTCAGGAAACTTAGAATCATGGTGGAAGGGGAAGGGAAAGGGGAAGCAAGGCACCTTCTTCACAAGATAGCAGGAAGGAGAATGAATGCAAAAGGAACTACCATACATATAAAACCATCAGATCCTGTGAAAACTCACTCACTATCATGAGAACAGTATGAAGGAACCACCCAAATATTTCAATTACCTCCACCTGGTCTCTTCCTTGACATGGGGCAGATTATGGGGATTGCAATTCAAGATGAGATTTTAGGGAGAGGAACACAGCCAAACGATATCAGTATGCATTGGTAAAAATCATCTTCTTAGGAAAGAACATCACCACTAATTTTCAATTGTCTGCCCTTCTCTGTCTTTTCACACAGATATATCGACTTACTGCTTTTGCAGACCTTATTTTATCTACCAGAAATTTTTAAAGATTAGGGCAAGAAAGATATAGGCAATTAGCATGGACACTTTACTTCATTAAATTGGAAGAAAACTGAATAGAAATCTATATGAAAATACCTAAGCAATCATACTTCTATTCTTTATTAAGGCAATTATTAGCTAATAAAGAAAAGAGTTAAGTCTGCTTGACATTCTTATAATTAACATTAGGCCTTTAATATTCTATGCAAATATTTAGTTTATAAAAAGCCTGCACATACATAAACTGAGTTTACCAATGTATATCTATTCTACGTGCAAAAACAGATTTTTGTTTATACTAATTATCTGAGGCATTTATACCTAGAATGGAATATTCTATATATCTATAACCATAAAACTGTTTTTTACTTGTTTGTATTTAAACTGTTGCCAATTCCTATTGTCTCATTGTACCATATTTTAAAATTTAAATTATCTATTAATATACATTATCAATATTAATACATACATAGGTATGCATATATACAATGCTAACTATCTGTGCAACACATATACTCTATAGTACCCAAAAGCTTTCCATAATATAAAAAGGTTTACATATTGCATGTGATTAAAATGTATCCTAAATGTCTTTTCATGTATGGGTACCCCAACCCTCTTTGATTTTTGTATAATTCATCCTTGAAAGAAATAGATTGTATATGCGCTAGAATAGTTTTAAGTTTTCATTATTGCTTATTGCATTCTTCTTGTGAAACATGACTTCCTAATGTATCTTTTGTAATCTGTTAGCTAGATCTAGAAGTTAAAACATATGAAAGTTCTGTGTTTTGCCAAAAAACCCTTCAATGATGCTATCATGTTTTTTAACACGAGATTATTAATATACAGTTCATTTTCTCTTAATAATGTTAGTTAATGTATTATGAAACATTAGAATTATTGGTAGACCCACATTATAGAGGTTTGCAAAAATGGTGATATTCTTTTTTATGTGTATCTTTTGTTCTTTTAACTTTTCTAAGTGAAGAAGAATGTTTTGTTAATCTCAACCTCTTCATTAAGGTATTATTTAAATTTAGTAAAGGTCAAGATGGCAGAATAGAACTTTTTAGCACTCCTTGCCCTGAAGAAACAACAACTTGAACAACTACCCATGCAGGAATGTATCTTCACAAAAGTTATGAAAATCAGGTGAGAGATGACAGCACCTCGGAGTAAAACCAAAATAAGAAAAATAAATTAAAGAAAGTAGGAAGGCCAGTTTTACATTACCCAGTCACTCCTTCTCTAATCCCAGGCAGCACAGCATGAAGAGAGATACCTTCGTCTTTAAAAAAGGAGAGGGAAGTGAGCATGAGACTTTGCCTCAGGTCTCAAAACCAGGCCTACTCCAGTAGGTTTTAACCCAGTGCTGGGATTTAAAACTGGGTTTTCACCCAGTGCTGGGAAGGCTTCCATGTCCCCAGGTCCAGGCCAGTAATTGCAAACTGAGTCTGTTAGCTCAGAATACTCAAATATTGTAATGGGATTGCGTAAATCACTTATAAACTTAATATTAAGATCAAAAGACAAAACTATTAAAATAATAATACCTACAATAAAAAAGACAAAACTATTAAAATAATAGCTACAATAATTTACTGAGGGATACCTAAAATGTTTGTAGATGGGGGTGGAGTAAAAGTAGTTTTCTATGCAATCAAAATTAAGCTGTTATCAATTTAAAATAGCCTGTTATAACTATAAAATGTTTTATGTAAGTCTCATGGCAACCACAAAACTAAAATATATTATAGCTACACAAAAGACAGATAAGAGTTAATCAAAGTGTAACACCAGAAAAAAATCAATCACAAATGAAGACAGAAAGAGAGAAAGGAACAAAGAACCTAATAAACAATCAAAACACAATTAAGAAAATGGCAGTAGTTAAGTCCTTACCTATCAATAATTACCTTGAATGTAAATAAATTAAGTTTCCAAATAAGACATAGTGTAGCTGAATAGTACAAAAAAAAGAAAAAAAGATCCAATGAGAAGCTGACTACAAGAGTCTTACCCATAAGGACACACATATGGTCTGAAAGGTTCTCACCACAAAAATGATAAATATGTGAGGCAGTGCATACTTTAATTAGCTGAAAGTAATATATTATTATATATAATATACATTTTATTTTATTATAAATATAATTTATATGTATATTATATAGATAGATAGATGATCTTCTGTCTACTGTTGCAGGCAACCTCTTGTATAATTGTTCTGGCTAGGACTTCCAGTACTATGTTGGCTGCATGAGGTTGCATGACACGAGAAAAAAAAAAGACATCTAAATAGGAAATGAATTAAAATTTTTTTTTGCAGATGACATAATCTTATTACGAAATAACCTAATGACTATTAAAAAACTGTTAGAACTAATAAAAAAATTGAGTAAAGTTGCAGGATATGAAATCAGCATACAAATATTGGTAGCATTCTACACACTAACAGCAAATTAACAAAAACTGGTTAAAGAAATTGATTCAGGAAAACAATTCTATTTATAATAGCTATAAAATGTTAAATTTTCAGGAATAAATTTAACCAAAGAGGAGAAAAACCTTACACTGAAACTATAAAACCTTGATGAAAGAAATTGAGGAACACATAAATAGATGTCAACATACTGGAAGGAAGTATAATATTGTTAGAATGTTCATGCTATGGAAAGCAATCTGCATATTCAAGAAAATTACTGAATGTTCATGCTATGGAAAGCAATCTACATATTCAAGAAAATTACTATCTCTAGCATGGAATTTTCCACATACATACAAAAAGCTATCCTAAAATATATGTGGAATTACAAAATTTACATGGAATAGCAAAAGTAATATTGATCCAAAAGAAAAGGAAGCTAGAGGAATCACTCTATCTGATGTCATAGTATACTGCAAAGTTTTAGTAATAAAAACGTCACAATAATGTTATAAATAGAACCATAAAAAATGGAACAGAATTGAGAGGTTAGCAAGAAATCCACATATTTACATGCAATTGGTTTCTGACAAAATTGTCAAGACCACATAACGGGGAAATGAGTCTCCTCAATAAGTGGTGGTATAAAAACTGAATAGCCACATAAAGGGGAATGAAGTTGTACTCTTATCTGACATAATTTACAAAAGTCAACTCGAAATGGGTTAAAGTCTTAATAAGACATGGAATTCTAAAATTACCAGAAAAAAACGGGAAAAGGTCTATGATATTGGTCTGGGCGATGATTTTTTTGGGAGGTGTGACCCCAGAAGCATAAGCAACAAAAGAAAAATTGACAAATGGGATTACATCAAACTAAAAACCTTCTGCACAGCAGAAGAAACAATCAACAGAATTAAGAGACAACGAATGAAATGAGAAAAATATATGCAAACCATTCATCTGATAAGGGATCAATATCTAAAATATATAAGGAAATCAAGCAACTTTATAGAAAGAAAACAAGGAAACCCTGAATAGAAATCGGCAAAGAATCTGAATAGGCATTTCTCAAAAGACGTACAAGTTGCCAACAAGTATATGAAAAAAATGCTCACAATTACTAATCATCTAAAGCCATAATGAGTTATTTCATCACACCTGTTAAACTAGCCATTATCAAAAAGACTACAGATAACAAGTGTAAGAGAGAATATGGAGAAAAGAAAACCCCTGCGTACTCTTGATGAGAATGAAAATTAGTACAGACAGGGTAAACAGTTTAAAATTTCCTCAAAAAATTAAAATTAGAACTAACATGTGATTCAGCAATTCTACTACTGAGTTATAGCCAAAGGAAATGAATTCATTATGTTGAATAGATATCTGCATTCTTATTCTCATTACATTATTCACAATAGCCAACACACAAAAACAAACTAAGTGCTCATTAATGGATGAATGAAGAAAATGTGTTATATACACACAACGAAATACTATTTTGCATTTAAAAAGAAATTCTGTCATTTGTGACAACAAGGATGAACTTAGGGACACTGGATTAAGTGATGTAAGCTAGATACAGAAAGACAAATACTGCATGATCTCACATATATGTGGAATCTAACAATGTTGAACTCACTAAAGCAGGAAGTAGAATGGTGATCACCAGGAGCTGTGGGGCAGAGGGTTGGGAAGATACCGATCAAAGGATTCAAAATTTCAGTAAGATAGGAGGAATAGGTTCAAGGGACCTATTGTACAACATGATGACTACAGTTAATAAAAATGTATCCTTGAAAATTACTGAGTAGATTTTAAAGGTTCCCATCACAAGCATGATAAATATGTGAGGCAGTGGATACTTGAATTAGATTGATATAGCGATTTCACAATGTGTACATTACAGTCATGCAACATTTAACAACAGAAATACATTTGTAGAAATGTCTCATTAGGCAATTTTGTTGAGAGTACACTTACACAAACATATATGACAGCCTACTACAGATGTAGGTTATATCGTATAGTCTATTGCTCCTAGGCTAAAATCTGTACTGCATGTTACTTTAGTTAATACTGTAGGTAACTGAAACACAATGGCAAGTATTTGTGTATCTAAACATAGCTAAAAATAGAAAATGTACCATAAAAATATGGTATAGAAGGTAAACACAATGTATAGCTGTATAGGACACTTATCGTGAAAAGAACTTGCAGAATTGAAAGTTGTACTGAGTGAGTCAGTGAGTGAGTGGCCAGTGAACATGAAGGCTTAGGACATACTGTAGACTTACAAAGGCTATTCACTTAAGCTCCACTAAATTTATTTAAAAAATAATTTCTTCACTAATAACCTTAGCTAATGGCAACATTCTTACCTTATAAAATTTTCAAAACTTCTTGACTCTTTTGTAATAACATTTAGCCTAAAACACAAGCATATTGTAGAGCTGTATAAAAATATTTTCTTTCTTTATATACTTATTCCATAAGCATTTTTTTCAATTTTAAAAATTTTTATTTTATTTTTTAGTTTTTAAACATTTCTGTTAAAACCTAAGACACAAACACATATATCAGCCTAGGCTTCCACAGGGTCAGGATAAATATCACTGTCTTCCGCCTTCACATCTTAGCCTACCGAAAGTCTTCAGGGGCAGTAACACGCATGGATCTGTCATGTCTTATGGTAACAATGCCTTCTTCTGGAATACTTCCTGAAAAACCTATTGTACATATGTCTGTTGTTGACAAAAAGATCATTATGGAGCTCATGGCTGTATTTCAAAACACCATGATGTATATAATAAATGCATACAATTTGTTGTCCATTTAAATACAATTATTAATTTAGAAGAAGATTGACAACCTAACATTATTGAGTCTTCCAATTAATAAACACATTATATATTATTATTTAGGTCTTCACTAGTCTTTCCAAGCAATGTGTTGTAGTTCTTAGTAAAAATATCTTATGCATTTTTTGTGGAATTTATTGTTTGGTATTAAAAGTATTTGATGCCACTAGAAATGATATTTTTAAATTTAATTTTTCAATTATTGCTAACCTATAATTTTAAGAAAAGTATATTGATTTACAGAAAAGAACATCTCCATCTTTTCCCAATATTTATGCCTTTTATTTACCCCGCTGAATTTGCTAGAACCTAAATTATAACGTTGAAGAGAAGTTTTAAACACTTTTGCTTGCTCCTGATTTTAGGGAGCAAGAATAGTTCATCAGTAAATATGATGTTAGCATTACATTTCAGGTTTAAATCGTATTAAAGTTTTCTTCTGTTTCCAACTGGTTGACAGATAAAATGGCAATATTTTAGCTCTATCTTGCATTTCTAGGTAGACCACTTTATGAAATAAAAAATCTCCCTCATTAGTTATGTGGTTACCTTAAGGGAAATTTCATATAAAAAAATCAGAAAAAGTGCCTGAATATTTCTTTTTTTGTTCCAGTCACAAAAGTTATGTTTTAATGCCTTTCATCCTCTGAAGATCATCAAATAACAATTCCTTTTAAAAATATATGTATGATCTTCTAGATTTTAATATATTTGATATGATTAACTCACCATGGTTGTTATTCTTATTGATGCTTGGGTGTTTAAATCTTTGACAAGTGGGAAATCTTCTTATTGATTCCTGAGTTCTCTGGAGAAAAATCTTAGCATATATATGCATATATATAGCACACATACACACACATATGTATATGTTTTAAATAAATGTATATAAATATATACATATATATTATATACATGTACAAGAGATCTATATACATGTACAGGATATCTATTGTACAACTTGGTGACTATATTAATAAAAATGTATCCTTGACAATTACTGAGTAAATTGTAAAGGTTCTCATCACAAAAATAAATATGTGAGGCAGTACATACTTTATGTAATTAGCCTGATATAGCCATTTCACAATGTGTGTGAAATATATATATAGTTCACAGCTTTCTGTTAGGACAATGTGTTACAGGCTCTTCATATCCATTTCCTTTCTCATAAATGAAATCAGCTATCTCTCTAAGGAATCTTGTTTACTAACAATGAGAAATTATACTTTTCAAAATTGAAATTTTTGTACTAATAATAGAAGTGCTATTGCTACTGGGTTGCCCATTTTTTTCTAGGCTTCTACAGTGATGAAAAGTACTCACTTTTTGTTACTATTAAGATTTCCTTTATGTTAAACTCTTAATATTTTCTCCTCTTAAACAAATGCTAATCTATTCTCTTACAATTCTGGGGCTCAGAAGTTCTAACACCAAGATGTTGTCAGGGCTGCATTCCTTCTGGTGGTGGTAGGAGAATATCTTTTTCTTTGACCCTTCTAATAATTCTAGAGTCTGCCTGCATTTGTTGGCTTTTCTCTTCTAAATAAAGTCTTTTAACATTTCTTTCAAGGCAGGCCTACTGACAACAAATTCCCTTAATTTTCAGTTGTCTGAGAAAATATTTCACCTTCATGTTTGAAGGATAATTTTGTAAGATACAACATTTTACATTGTTTTCTTTTCTTCCCTTTCTCTCTCAGAACATTTTAGATATTTTCCTCCAGTATCTTTTTGCTTTCATGGTTTCCGAGGAGAAGCCAGATGTAATTCTCGTCTTTGCTCCTCTATAGGTAAGATGCTTTCCCTCTGTTGTTAAGAGGCTTATAATAATGTATTACTTATCATACACCTAAACCAAACTACATACAGTTTCTAGAGAGATCCCTTATTTTCAGTGTGTTCTACAATTTTCTTGGAAGTTCCACTGAATGTTTCTACACACTAAAATATAAGAATTAAGAGTTAAAATAGGAGTTTCACTGCAGAAAAGGGGGACAATATTGCAGAAAAAAAATGTTCAAGAGAAAAGACTGATTTAGCAGTCAGTAATAAAATACAACTAGGAAGATTAAAATAGAATCCTAAAAAAAAAGTTGCTAAAATCCAGGGAGTTGCAGAGAAAGAACTGAAGGAAAATCTGAAAGTAGCAATGAGAAGGAAGAAACCTACAATACCTGAAGGCCTAGCATTATCAGAAGTCCAAGGACAAAGATCATCCACCATTTGAGAGGCCCATCAGGCAGTGTCCTCAGGGAAAGTTGATTTTAAATTGGAGCAAAAAGGGAAAAAAACTAGCCAGAGTCTGACGAAAGAAAGGATTTTTCCTACAACAGTTGTTGAGTTTTAGAGCCAAGTGTAGGGCTTCAAAGCTGAGAAAAGGGTGAGAGATCAAGTTAGAATGAGAAGTGCCCACAACAGCATGGAGATTAGAGTGTGGAAGATGACTTTGTGCTGTGAACAACATACATAGGAGTCAGGAGTTTAGTCATAGAAATCTCAAGATAGATGGTGATGGTAAAGAATTTGAGGGGGATGAAAAGTGTGTATACGTTGATAGGAACAATTCTAGGATGTTTTGAAAAGAGTAATCAAAAAGATATCTTGCAGAAAAGCTTGCCAGGGACATATAGCTAGTAAATGGTAAAGTGGGGCAAAATGCTAGGTCTTCCTTCTCTGGATGTTATTTATAGCCCAACAAACTAAATTTCAATTGGTTGCAGGTAGAACTGGTTCCCTTTCAATTAAATGAAAGACTAAACCCTTATAAAGCAAAAATATATTAAGTTCTCTTCATATGGCTGATTAGCTTAAAAACATTTGCCCTACTTCCATGCTTTATAAACAGGTAACAGTTTATCACTACACATTTAATGTATAAATTATAATCTAATTATAAAATTAAATCTCATTTAAATTTGATTACTAAGCAAACTGGTTATCTCCTGGATGTTAATTAAATAACTGTAAGTACTCATTCAATGATAAATGAAATGCATATACAAATACCTTGAACTGCAAATTTTACCTATTTGAGAAACTTTTACCAGTAGCTGAGAATGATGCAATTTATGATTAACTTGTCCTCTAAGACTTTAACAATCTATGTATAAGTTATACATCTGTAAAATTAGGATGCTATTTACTGCTTGAATATTTTATTGCCTATTGTACAGCAATCATATTGTGTTTAGGTAAATAAAGCTACTTATATAAATCATTTTTATAAAATTTATATATTGATTAAATATCAAGGTTATATCTGTTTATGGTAGGCAAAATTCCAAATTTGTCACCAATATTTGTGCCTGCTAATTATAAACACTATATAGTCTCCTCACCCCTTTGTGAGTGGGCCTACACTGTGGAAATAATGAAGAACCACTCCTGGGATTTGATTACATTAGACAGCACAGTTGATTAAGAAAGAAAGTGAGAAAGATTATCAGTGGCGGTCATAGATAATAATATGAAACTTTAAAAGTGATTAGAAGTATGACAAGAATTTGACATGAGGTAGAATCTCCGTTACTGACTTTGAAGATGAAGAGGGTGATGTGGGAATGATGGGAGTCGCATCTGCAGCCTTATGTCTCTCAGCAGATAGCTGGCAAGGAAGCAAGAACCTCAGTCTCACAAGCACAGGGAAGTAAATTCTCAACAACCATATGATCCTGGAAGAGGATCTTGAGCTTTAGATGAGAAAACTCCCTGGCCCACACCTAGACTTTGACCTTATGAGGCTCTAAGGAAAGAATCTAGCCATTCCATGTCCAGATTTCTGTCCTCCAGAATTTTGGGCTAATATATGGGTGTTGTTTAAGTTTCTAAGTGTGTGTTAATTTGTTATATAGCAACAAAAACAAATATCCTTTTTTGAAAAATAAAGATTACACATAAGATTTTTTTCTTTCAAACTTTTATTTTATGTTCAAGGAGGAACATGCACAGCTTTGTTACTGGGCAATTTGCGTGTTGTGGGGATTTGGTGTACAGATTATTTTGTCACCCAAGTAATGAGCACAATACCTGATAGGTAGTTTCCCAATCCTCACCCTCCTCCCACCCTCCTCCATCAAGTAGGTCCCAGTGTATATTGTTCCCTTCCTTATGGATTAAACATAAGATTTAATTTAAAGGGGAAACATTCCTTTAAGTCATTCAACACTGAAGAAGGTAATCAGTGTGAAAAAAAAAGCAAACAATTCATGTTGCTTATTGTATCAACTCACACTAGCGTCACAAACCTTGATATTGATTTGTCATTCCAACTGACAATTTTCACTAGCTATCATGCTCATAAGAATCATGTCATAGGAAAGTGGAAGAGTAGGTAATTGATAATAGAGTAAAACGTAGTCTATTTCTAAAGAACTATTTTTCTTAATTTTATAAATATGTGTCAAGCATTTAGTCATGTCAACGTTTATAGTGCTATGGGTATAGTAGTGAATATAATCTGCAACATCCTTACTCTCATAAAACTTATATTCTAGAAGTGAGAAGACAGCCAGTGAACAAGGAAACAAACTGAAGGTTAAAACTTCAGAAAATGACAAGTCAGTAAAGACAATAAGCAGAGTAATGTGATAGTGATGGATGGAGGTATTAAGACTGTATGTGCAGAACAAGCCTTTCTAGGTGGTTGACATTTAATAGGAAGTCTGAAATGATACAAATATCATTCATGCAAGAAATGCACGGAAAAAATGTTTTCAGAAAATAATAGCATGGATAAGGACCCTAAGGTAGAAATAAACTTAATGTTTTCTTAACAAGGAAATAGGCCACTGGGACTACAGTGTAGATAATAATACAGAGAAGTAAGAGCTGAGTTCAGGACAGATGTAAACCAGATCATATATGGCCTTGAACCCTAAAGTAAGGAACAAGAGTTTGAAGTGCAATGGTAAAAAATGTAAGGGTTTAGGCAAGGAAGTGGCACGTGACATGCCTTGAAGAAATCAATCATCTATCAGATTCCTCATAAATCCAGGAGTTACTTCATCACATTTCAATATGTTGTTTCAAGTTTTGCTACATTTTAGAAGATTTTTACCTGTGTTTTCTGTTTTATTCTTTGTTCTTCTTTTTAGTAACACTCCTATTATACCTGTGTTGCTGTTTCTTTGCCTGAGATCCCTCAAATATAAGGCTTGAAAGCATATAAATAGAAACTTAGGATCTATTTGTAAAGTTTTGAGAATATATAAAATGTTATATATGTATTACTTGATTTTAAAATTGTATTTAATTATCTTGGCTTTTTTCTTTTTTTTTTTTCTTGAGACAGAATGTCACTCTGTGGCCCAGGCTGCAGTGCAGTGGCACAATCTCAACTCAATGCAACCTCCACCTTCCAGGTTCAAGTGATTCTCCTACCTTAGTCTCCTGAGTAGCTGGAATCACAGGCACCCGCCACCACACTGGCTAATTTTTGTATTTTTAGTATAGACAGGGTTTTGCCATGTTAGCCAGGCTGGTCTCATACTCCCAACCTCAGGTGATCAGACCACCTTGGCCTCCCAAAGTTCTGTGATCACAGTCATGAGCAACCACGCCCAGGATAATTATTTTGCTTTTGATTAAAACTTAAATATGCATGTTACACTGGTTGTCAGAATACTGAAGTATAATTATATGATTATCTTTAATTTATAGTACTTAATAAAATACTGGTATTGAACAAAACTTTTGTATAGTATAGGTAGTGTTTGGAATATTTTTGGTCCCTTTAATGGAAATGATAATGAAAGAATAAATATGTTTGCAAGAAAGTCAAAATATTGAATTTAATATATTTTTAAATTAAAAATAAGTTAGTGTATGTTATTCTTTTTCTTAATGAGTTACTTATTTTATGCGCTAAAATTATACAGTGTCAAATATATTGCTTATAATGAGAATACACAACATTACCAGGACAGTGCAAAAAAATACGAATGTACTAGTGTGTTGGGGGAACAATTATTGGGTGAGAGAAGGGACAAAGTTGTAGCCTTACATGAAGTCAAATCCCATATTGGCTCTCTAATGAATCTCAAGCCATTGAAGTACTTGTTTTTTGGAACTGTCCGTTTGAATTTGTCACAATCACACATTCATTGTTTTGGATTAAATAGCTTATTTATTGTGTCTTTTCTTATTTTGAATGTTTTAAATAGTATGCTAGTCTGATAAAGCTTCACCAAGATATCATTAATTTTAAAATTATACATACATTTAATAGCCATTATATACAGTTCTACAGTTCCATTAAAAAGGAAGTATATATAATTTAGTAGTGTATTACTGACACCAAATAAGACTACCCAGATTCAGATTTTTATCTCAGCACATATTAGATCTGTTGAGTTGATCAAGTTACATGGCCTCATTATGATGGGTTTCAACTTTATGAAATAGGCATAATAATAGTACTACTTCCTAGAGTTAGAGGAAATAATTTTGGATGGATACATAAGTGGATAGATACATAGATACACAGACAGACAGATAATGCTTAATATGCACCTGGCAAAAGCTAAACATTTAACAAAAGTTTGTGGTTATTATTACTATTTTTTCCTTTTATTATTATACTTTAAGTTTTAGGGTACATGTGCACATTGTGCAGGTTAGTTACATATGTATACATGTGCCATGCTGGTGTGCTGCACCCACTAACTCGTCATCTAGCATTAGGTATATCTCCCAATGCTATCCCTCCCCCCTCCCCCCACCCCACAACAGTCCCCAGAGTGTGATGTTCCCCTTCCTGTGTCCATGTGATCTCATTGTTCAATTCCCACCTATGAGTGAGAATATGCGGTGTTTGGTTTTTTGTTCTTGCGATACTTTACTGAGAATGATGATTTCCAATTTCATCCATGTCCCTACAAAGGACATGAACTCATCATTTTTTATGACTGCATAGTATTCCATGGTGTATATGTGCCACATTTTCTTAATCCAGTCTATCATTGTTGGACATTTGGGTTGGTTCCAAGTCTTTGCTATTGTGAATAATGCCACAATAAACATACATGTGCATGTGTCTTTATAGCAGCATGATTTATAGTCCTTTGGGTATATACCCAGTAATGGGATGGCTGGGTCAAATGGTATTTCTAGTTCTAGATCCCTGAGGAATCACCACACTGACTTCCACAATCGTTGAACTAGTTTACAGTCCCACCAACAGTGTAAGAGTGTTCCTATTTCTCCACATCCTCTCCAGCACCTGTTGTTTCCTGACTTTTTAATGATCACCATTCTAACTGGTGTGAGATGGTATCTCATTGTGGTTTTGATTTGCATTTCTCTGATGGCCAGTGATGATGAGCATTTTTTCATGTGTCTGTTGGCTGCATAAATGTCTTCTTTTGAGAAGTGTCTGTTCATATCCTTTGCCCACTTTTTGATGGGGTTGTTTGTTTTTTTCTTGTAAATTTGTTTGAGTTCATTGTAGATTCTGGATATTAGCCCTTTGTCAGATGAGTAGGTTGCGAAAATTTTCTCCCATTTTGTAGGTTGCCTGTTCACTCTGATGGTAGTTTCTTTTGCTGTGCAGAAGCTCTTTAGTTTAATTAGATCCCATTTGTCAATTTTGTCTTTTGTTGCCATTGCTTTTGGTGTTTTAGACATGAATTCTATGGTTTAATCTTCACTGACTGCTATTAAAGCAATCATTTTTATTAATAAATTACAACTGCTGAAGTTAAAGTACATAAAGAAAACAAAAGCAATCTTTTCTGTCAGTTCATTTATAAATTGAAATTTTATAAATATAACCCATCTTCTAATCATTAATAAGTATCAATTAAACTGACATCATAAGAATTAAAGTAAGACATTTCAAGTAAACAAAAGCTTATATATTCTCTTTAGACTATATTTGGCTTTATCCCTTCAAACTTATAAGGATTCAACTTTTTTTTTAAATCTTGATTTACGCCTTAGAGAACAAAGCATAAGCCAAAGATAATTCATTGACCTGACAAAAACTGCAGCAAAAAGAGAAAAAAGTCAATGGGATTTGGTGATCGTTTATCACTCATGGTGACTGGGTTTATCTCTGGGCAAAAATCAATAATGTTGAGGAAAAAAAATCTCAGATGGAAGAATGCACTGAATGTCTACTAGTTAATGTATCCATCTGCTTTTCTTTTACTTCTTTTTTTTTAATCTAGTGTGTTATCCTTAATGAAGCCCTAATGTCTTTATATATGAATAATGCAGTTTATCTTTGAATAATGACAGAAATAAAATGAAAAAATGAAAATAAATTTCCCATCAAGTCACCCATATATCTAGTCATATTTATATTAGTAAGTTAAATTAGACAAGATATTTTATTGTTTTAAATACTGTTGAATCTCAGAATTAGAGCTTTGTTCATAAAATTATAGGTCAATTGGATCTTAATAAAACTTTTCATTAGTCTTTATTCTGATGATAATTATTCAAAATATAAAGAATATAAATTGTTACTGCACATTTAGTCATGGAGCTTTGATTAAGATCATTCTGCTTTTACCCTATAAGATAAAATTCTCACATTCTCTTAAAATTTTTTTAACATGTATATGTACTATATAAAAAAGGGAGCATCAACAGTTATGGACCAACCTTAATGTGCTGGGTAATATTTGCATGACATAAAATATGTTTTTCTTTCAGTTACTTCACAGTTTTGGAGCTGGTCACACCTAGGATTGTGCCTGAAAGAATTTTTTCTTAAGTAACTTAATACTTTCAGTTTTTATATGTGTAAACAGGTAATGATGATTATAATATATTGATTCCCTCATAAATGCCATATACTAGTATCAATAGTTTGCATATAATACATTATTCAATGCATACAAACCATTATGAATTAGACACTAATATATTATCTAATTTGCAAGTGAGAAATTTGGTGGACCAGGTCCAAATTTCTATCTTACCTCGTATTTTCAAACCACTCCAGAATGTACATCCCAAGTGTTAGATAGGCAGCCAATAGAAGTGGCTGCTTAACCTCTAAATTTAAAAAGAAAAAAAAACCAATAAAATAACTAGAGAATGTGAGTAGTTGTACCAGTATTAAGGTTACAAACCTTGTTAGAAACTGTGAAGAGTGTGATATTTTACCCTACTTGCAAGATACCAAGTTATCTTGCCACTGTTATGTACAAGCCAGTAGAAGGCACAATATTTATGAGTTAAAGATGAGGGATAGTTTATTGGTCACAGCAACAGGAATAGTCAGAGTAACAGCTTTTTTGGTCAGTTCCTCAAGTCTCAATTTGCATAGGGTGTCAGCAAATAGACTAAGTGATACCTGCACACACAGCGCATTACAGGAGAGGAATCTGTGTTTAGGAAACCTACATTTTAAAATAATAGGTAATATACATATCAATCCTTTGATATGACAGGATAAATGATTCCTATTTTTAAATGCTGTTGTAGGAAAATCATTTGAAAGACAGCTTAATACAAAGGATAGACAGTGCTTTTCTTCAGAAAGTATATAAAAACATGAGAGACCTATAGGAAATTGTTTCCCAACAATCCCTTTTCCAGTTCCCTAATATGAGCCAAATTTCAGATCTAAATCTGAAATTAGAACCCATTGCCTGAAGTGCTGGCCAAGTCCCCAAGAGAAAGTCCCCTTTTGTAACACATGTAATGTTACAAAACTATGGTAAGTTATACCAGGATGGTTCCCAGAGTCTTTCTGGAAAAGGACCTAAAACTGTTTACTAAGATTACTGTCCACTGGGAGAAATATCTCAAAAGCCTAACATTTCTAGGACTAATAAGTTTACTTTGATACACAAAAAATTTTGGCCCACTTGTTAAGATAGGGGCCTACAGAGGCTGGATAATAAATGGAATCTTTGCTAAAGTTTGACTTACAATATGTTCACAGATTCTGTGGGCTTATTCAGTGGTCATTTACTCTGTGAGTAAGTACCTAATTTGAAGTAATGTACTTGAAATTAGGAGTAAGTTACTCACTGATCTGTATTGGAGGAGTTATCATAGAGAAGAAAGACAAAAGGAAACCTCTTAAAATATCATCCACCACTGCCGGTCAATAAACTAAAAACAATATAGTATACTCACTGGGAATAAGGGAAGGTAGTGCTAACCACAGATACCAGATGCCTTCTGGAGAATTATGTTAGCTTACCATAATATTAAATGAGTAGTAGCTTTGATCACAACTGCTGTGCCAGATGTAATATCTTTACCACAGCAGATTAATAACACCCATGATTAGTCATTTGACATTGATTTAGAAAATGTATTATTTTTCACTCCATTACAACGGAGGATCAAAAATAGTTTTTTTAACCGAAAATGGATTCAATATTTTATTTAAAGTTTTGCATTGGGGTTATATCAACTGTCCTATTCTGCATTATAATATGCAGTAGAGATCTAGACTTCTGGATATCCTATAGAACATTACACTGATTCATTATTTTAAAGACTTGATGTTTGGTTTATACCAAAAAGGAGACGATGTTTGGTTTATACTAAAAAGTATTTGAAACAGGTCTCAAGTAATTTAGAGGTTTATTTTGCTGAGGTTAAGGATCATGACCCATGACACAGCCGCAGGAGGTCCTGAGAATATGTGTCCAAGGTGGTTGAGTTACATCTTGGTATTGTACATTTTAGGGAGACAGAAGTTACAGTCAAAGATATAAATCAATATGTGTAAGGTACACATTGGTTTTGCCCGGAAAGGTGGAGCATTTTGAAGCAGATACTTCCGGGTCATAGGTGAATTCAAGGATTTCCTGAGTGGCAAATTGCTGATTTAAGCTCTTCCTGAAGAGTTTGTCAGCTTGAGTTAAGATAAGTGGGGGTTGTGGAAGCCAATGTTCTTGTCATGTATATAAAGCCTCCAGGTAGCAGGCTTCAGAGAGATTAGATGGTGAATATCTCTTATCGACCTTAAAATGTGTCAGACTCTCCAGAAAAGAACTAGTAAGGGAAGGAGATTCTCTATAGAATGAAAATTCACCTTCCTCCCCACGAAGAGATAGCTTTGCAGAGCCATTTCAATATATGTTAAAGAAATATATTTTGAAGTAAAATATTTTGAGTTCCTTCAGGGCCTGCTATATGTCACGTGATGCTATACCAGAGTCAAGTTGGAATTTGGCTCTTTTTTTTTTTTTTTTGAGACGGAGTCTTGCTCTGTCGCCCAGGCTGGAGTGCAGTGGCGTGATCTCTGCTCACTGCAAGCTCCACCTCCCGGGTTCATGCCATTCTCCTGCCTCAGCCTCCAGAGTAGCTGGGACTGCAGGCGCCCGTCACCACGCCTGGCTAATTTTGTTTTTGTATTTTTAGTAGAGACGGGGTTTCACCGTGTTAGCCAGGATGGTCTCGATCTCCTGACCTCGTGATCTGCCTGCCTCGGCCTCCCAAAGTGCTGGGATTACAGGCGTGAGCCACCGCGCCCAGCCAATTTTTTATATTTTTAGTAGAGACAGGGTTTCACCATGTCAGCCAGGATGGGATCTGGCATCTTATTGCTACTAAGAGTCTGTTTTGTGAGTCTTAAGATCTCTGTTTTAACGGTAATGCTGGACTAAACTACAAAGAGAGGAGGGTATAATGAGGCCATCCCTTCCCATCACGGCCTGAACTAGTTTTTCAGGTTTAGATGGGATCCCCTTGGCCAAGATGGTGGCCCATTTAGTCTGTTGAGGGGTCCAGAATTTTATCATTGGTTCGTATCTGCTACAATGAGCAAGAAGTGGTTAGTACACTCGGTATTCTTAACATATGTGTTCCCAAGTGTGGGAGACAAACCTTTTGTAGGTCAAGATGTAGCCAGTGGGCTGATTTAGGTTCTTAACTTCACCGCACAAAAGAATTTGAGCGTGAGTCCAAAGTAAAAGTAAGCAAGAGAGTTTATTGTAAACCAAAAATACACTCACAGCTGATCAGAGTAGGATGCTTAAAGGTGAGGCAGCCCCATCTGATGCTGACGGATTTCCCTTTATGGGAGATTTATATGGTTATTCATAAAGAGGTGGAAAGGAGTGTTGCTATTAAGTATGTTATGGGTGATTTCTTAGGCCTGCATGTGCAGTGACTGTGCATGCTAGTACATACATCACATGTCTCATTAATATTTTAAATCTCCACACCGGGTTGTGTTTTTACTATTATAATAAGCATAGGTCAGCCCAAGGACACTAATCATGGGTTTCTGTGCTTGCGCAAATTTGGGGATTTTCCCTTTTGCTCCCCTACCTCCTTTCTGCAGGATGTTCTAACCTTGAGCCAGGATGCTGTCTGCGCACTGTCTGGTGGTTTGTTCTCTTCATCAATTGATAAGTTTCTTGTTTCTTGTCAAGGAAGGCTATGACCACCCTATCTAACCTACCTCACAGAGACTGGACATTGTAATGAATTTTTAGGTTCCCAGTGGTTAGGGGTTGCTGGGACATCCTTCACAAAGTTAAAAACAACTTGCCTCATCTTGCGTCTACTAACACTTACCCAACCCCGCCAACCCTAACCACACACCTAATATCTGATGGATAGGCCTTTTCAAGTTCTAGAACAAACATATTTCAAATCCCAGAAATAGCGCTTCATCCTCTACTGGGTGAAGTCTGCCTGCTTTGACTGGGATCCAGAGAAGAAAATGACACCACAGCAAGTCAAGGTTGTGCTACAGTTAGCCCTGCAACTTGAGCCATGTGATCTAGCAGACCACATGAGGTTTGATGTGTCTGTGATGAGAGAAGACTCAGAATGGACATTACGGCAAGTTTCAGTGGAAATATCACAGTGTCGGATATTCTAGAACAAGTTTCTGCCATTCAGAGCAGAGACTTATACCGTTTAAGTGATGGTTTCTGTCCGGGCGCAGTGGTTCACGCCTGTAATCCCAGCAGGTTACACCAAGGCGGGTGGATCATTTGAGATCAGGAGTTTGAGACCAGCCTGACCAACATGGTGAAACCCCCTCTTTACTAAAAATACAAAAAAAATTAGCTGGGTGCGGTGGCAGGTTTCTGTAATTCCAGCTACTCAGAGGCTGAGGCAGGAAAATCACTTGAACTGGGGAGGTGGAGGTTGCAGTGAGCCGAGACTGTGCCACTGCGCTCCAGCCTGGGTGACAAGAGCAAAACTCTGTCTCAAAAAAAAAAAAAAAAAAGTCACTCAATGAACTAAAAGTAGAAGAGAACTACCTCCATCTGATAAAGGCCTCTACAAATGACCCACAACTAACATCATGTTGAATGTGGAAAACATAAATGCTTTCTCCCTCAGATGAGGACACCACTTCTATTCAACTTTCTACTACATGTTCTAGCAGGAGAATTAGGTAAGAAAAATAAATAAAAACCATCTACAATTGAAATTAATAAATAATCATATTTCTATTAGCAGATGGCATAATCTTATATAGAGAAAATCCTAATTAATCAACAAATACATTATTAGACTATATAAATAATTTCACCAAGGTTGCCTCATACAAGACCGATTATCAAAATGTTGATTGTATTCTTATGAATACACCTACGATCAATGATCCAAAAGTCAAATTAAGAAAATAATTCCTTTTACATGTTTCAAAAAATCATAAAATATTTAGAATAAATTTAATAAAATGAGTGTAATTCTTATACACTGGGTGCTACAAAACTTAATTCAAAGAAATTAACACATTGAAAAAGAACTGCATGCGTGGAAAGACATCCCACGTTTGCATAGCCTATGTTTGTTGACTTATTATTGTTACGATAAGAATACGTTTTTTTTTTTTTGAGACAGAGTTTCACTCTTGTTGCCCTGGGTGGAGTGCAATGGCATGATCTCAGTTCACCACAACCTCCACCTCCCAGGTTCAAGTGATTCTCCTGCCTCAGCCTCCCAAGTAGCTGGGATTACAGGCATGTGCCACCACACCCGGCTAATTTTGTACTTTTAGTAGAGATGGGGTTTCTCCATGTTGGTTAGGCTGGTCTGGAGCTCCCAATCTCAGGTGATCCGCCTGCCTCAGCCTCCCAAAGTTCTGGGATAACAGGTGTGAACCACCGTGCCTGGCCCAGGAACACTTTTTAAATTGACCTATAGATTCACCACAATCTCTATAAAATCCTAGTTGGATTTTTGCAGAAATTGACATACTGATCCTAAAATTAACATGAAATATTAAACTCAAGAGACTCAGAATTTCAAAAAAAATTTTAAAAGAGGAATAAATTTGGGAAACTCACATCTCCCAATTTCAAAGCTACAGTAATCGAGACAGTGTTATACTGTCATTAAGGTAGACCTGTAGATGAATGGAATAGAATTTGCAGTCCAGAAATAAAGACATACATTTATGGTTAACTGATATTCAGCAAAGAAATCAAAACATTTCAGTGAAGAAGGAAAAGTTTTTCAACAGATGCTGCTGGGACGACTGTATATCTACCTGTAAAATAATGCAATTGAACCCCTACTTCTCACCATGTGCAAAAATTTACTAAAAATGGAACAAAAGGCCAAGTATAGGATACAAAACTATGAAAATACTAGAGAAAAATCTAGGGGTGAATCTATATCACCTTATATTGGACTGCAGTTTTTAAGATGGGACGTTAAAAGGCACATACAATAAAGGAAAAAGTAGATAAGTTGGGTTTAATCAAAATATAAACCTGTGCTTCCAAAGAAAAAAAATAAATAAAATGAAGAGACAAAACACATAATAGAAGATGTTAGCCTATCATACATCTTAAAGAACTTGTATCTAGAACCTATTAATATTCTCTCAACTTAGTAATAAAAAGACAAAAACCTGGCCGGGCGCGGTGGCTCACGCCTGTAATCCCAGCACTTTGGGAGGCCGAGGTGGGTGGATCACGAGGTCAGGAGATCGAGACCATCCTGGATAACAAGGTGCAATCCAGTCTCCACTAAAAGATACAAAAAAATTAGCCGGGCGTGGTGGTGGGTGCCTGTAGTCCCAGCTACTTGGGAGGCTGAAGCAGGAGAATGGCGTGAACCCGGGAGGCGGAGTTTGAAGTGAGCCGAGATGGCGCCACTGCACTCCAGCCTGGGTGACAGAGCGAAACTCCGTCTAAAAAAAAAAAAAAAAAAGACAAAAACCCAATTTTAAAACTGGGCGAACAACCTGAATAGACATTTCTCCAAAGAAGATATACAGCAGTAGCTAATAACCACTTACAAGACTTTTAACATGCATGCTACAACATGGATGAACCTTGACAATGTTATGATAAGTAAAAGAAGCCATTTATAAATGAGCACATATAATATGATTCAATTCATATGAAATGTCTAGAACATGGAAATTTATGGAGACAATGATTGAATAGGTTTGTGGTATATGAGGGAGTGATGAGGAATGACTGCTAAGTGGTTTGGGTTTCTTTTTGGAGGTGATGAATATTGATTGATTGTGGTGATGGTCGCACAACTCAATGAATGCACTAAAAACCACTGAATTGTATTATTTAAATGAGTGAAATATATATTATGTGACTTATTTCTCAATAAAACTTTTACAAAAAAACATGAAGAATGAAAGAAAGGAAAAAGAATAAGAAACAGCTCTTAGTAGAACTTGTAGAGGCAGCACAGTTGAATATGGGACACCAAATGTTGTGGATTGTATTGTTTCTTCAAGAAGATATATTGAAGTCCAAACTCTGGTTCCTGTAAATGCAACCTTATTTGGAAATAGGATCTTGCAAATGTACCTCAGGCAATAGGAGGAGATACTCTACAACCAGCTGAAACAGGTGGAGAAAGCCAAAAGTTGGTTTATGAATGAATAATCCCAAGTACATGCAAGCTTAAAATGGATGGCAATTAACATTACAGCCTCCTTCAGATATGACTCTGAAAGTTAATGGGAAACAAAAATCTTTCAAGTGGGTATAGCTGTGAGCATTCTACCTGGTCTTCCTCTTGGTTTAGAAGGATGTGTCCAAGTGTGAGAATACAGACAGATTGCTTGGCAGTGACTAATGGCTGGACCTTTACTCAGGAGTCTGGCAAGGGAGGGATTGGAATACTGGAAATAAGGAGGTCTGTATTAGTCAGGGATCTCCAGAGGGACATAACCAATAGGAGGGTTGTGTGTGTGTGTGTGTGTGTGTGTGTGTGTATGTGTGTGCATGTATATACACAATTACAAAAGTGAAGTCTCATGATAGGCTCTCTGCAAGATGGGGAATGAGACAATTCAGCAGAGAGAAAGCCAGGTAACACAACAAACTGAATGATCATTTTTCACTTGCTTTGTTCTAGCTGTGCATGTGGACAGCTGATTGGATGGTGCCCACACACATTGAGAGTGGGTCCTCCTCTCCCAGTCCACTGACTCACACACATCAGTTTCCTCTGGAGACACATCCAGAAACAATAGTTTATCAGCCATCTAGGCATCCCTCAATGGAGTTCAGTTAACACTTAATATTAACCATCACAAGATCTGAAGTGGTCGTGTCAATGGACATATGGAAGTGGAAAAAAAATAAGATTTTTATGTATTAGTGCCCAACAGAAAGCATTCTTTACAGGAGAAGCAAGTAGATAGGTAAATAGAAAAAATGATTGGGCCAGTGGAGGTTAATCAACCTTCATCACTGACTTCCTTAGAACAGGCATAGTGACCAAATGAATGTGATGACCATTGTGGCAGAGAAAGATGCCCAACTAAATGGACTTCCATTTACCAAATAGAAGGCTGATTTAGCTATTGTTACCTCTTAATGCCCAACTCCTCATCAGCAGAGATTAGCATTGAGGCCCTGATCCAGTACTGTTCCTCAAGAAGAATAAGCCACTTGCAAGCAAGCTGATGAAATTGACTCCTTCCACTCACCAGGGTTTTATTTTTATGTGGATGTTGGTTTACCCTTTCTGCCTGAAGGCCCTCAGTTACCATCGTTTTCCAGGGGCTTACCAAATGCCTGATCTCCAGGTATGGAATTCCATACTACAAAATACCCAGCCAAGGAAACCACTTTACATCAAATAAAGTGGTAGTAAACCTATGGCCATAATATTTACTGGTCATATTACCTTAGTATATCATCTAGAGGCAAAGAACCTCTTTGAAACTCTAACAGCCTTTTATATGTGTAGAGGAAACACAACTCAGAAGAAACAGGATAAAACAATGAGGTTACCTTTTAGGGTGTAGTGTATGTATTGAATAAGGCAATTCTATATTGTGCTACGTCATAGCAAGATTATGAATCTGGGAACCAAAGGATTCAACAGGAATAGTTCCACTTAATATTACTTCCATTGACCCAATGAAGAATATTGTATTTCTTGTCCACAAAACTCTGGAATGCACAGGTTTGGAATTTCTGATCTCCAAAAAGGATAAACTTTTACTAGGGAAGAAAACTAAGGGTACCATGGAATACAAGATAGAGGTGCTTTCATAGTCTAACAGGATTTCTTACGCATATAAAGCCAAGAATACTATATCGGTGAGGTATTTGACCCTAATCAGCAGGAGGCAGGGAGAATGTACATGGAACTCAGGTGATTTATGTAAGCACCCACTAGTATTTCTTCCACCAGTGTAAGTGTGAAAAAAGGACAGGTAGCAACTTAAGATTAAGAAGGATATCATTATCACCTGGCACGGTGGCTCACGCCTCTAATCCCCGCACTTTGGGAGGCCGAGGTGGGTGGATCACCAGGTCAGGAGATCGAGACCGTCCTGGCTAACACGTGAAACCCCATCTCTACTAAAAATACAAAAAATTAGCCTGGCGTGGTGGTGGGCACCTGTGGTCCTAGCTACTCGGGAGGCTGAGGCAGAAGAATGGCGTAAACCCGGGAGGCGGAGCTTGCAGTGAGCCGAGATCACGCCACTGCACTCCAGCCTGGGTGACAGAGCGAGACGCCATCTCACCAAAAAAAAAAAAAAAAAAAAAAAAAGAAAAGAAAAAAGAAGGATATCATCAATGATTCAGATAATTCAGGAATAAAGGTAAAGATCACAAAACAGGTAAGCCACCAAGACACCCAAGAGAGCATGAGAAAAATGTAAAATCAATAGGGAAATTTAAAATAGAGAAAGAAGAGAATCGGTTATGGTCTGATGATCAAGTGTAGCAACAGAGTTTGAAGTTCATCCTACCAACTCCTCCTGAGTTTCACACTGGGAGGAAAGACCCACAGGAACCATGGAGAATTTGCTCCCCAAATCTATAATAAATTTATATTTGCACAGCACAAATGGTGAACTATGGTAGTTATAAAAATGTATGCCATAGATTTCCAACCACAGGGAACATAATTTATCAAGCACTTCAGTTTCTGTAGTCTGAAATCTATGTTCACTCCTTCACTGAGAACACATTTCCTCTTCAACTGCTTCTGGCAGATGGCTGGTTATAGCTTATAGCTTGTGTCCTAGGGCAAGTCCATTCCTTGGAGGCACAGGTTTCATCTGCTGAGCGACCTCTGGTTGAGAAATCCCTGATGACCTCGTTAAAATTTCCGTAGACAGTATGAATATTTAACTCTCTTCCACCCATCCATCTCCTTCGCTCTATTCTTTATTCAGGGTCAGACTTGCATGGTGAGATGCCTACTCTTCAAGCTCCTTTCTACCTATTTCTTTCACATGTTCTCTCATAATACAAACTCATGCATATTAATCAAGTCTTGGCATCTGCTAACCAGAGGACCTGGATTAAGACAGTAATTATTACTAGTGGGTGTTAAGTGGATACTAGGTTGCCTGTCTTTTTGAAAAAAACACTGACTCAAGAACAAGAAATATATGTCTGCATTTTACTTCGATGGTTTCTAAACTGTTTTCCATGTAATTATAAAATTATTGATCCCATTGTCAGTTACAGATTTCTTAAATTCTTATAATTTCTGGTACAGCAGTTGACAGGGCTGCAATTTCTCTAACCATGCTTAGGTATCTCAATGAACATATCTTCCTCTAACCACCCACACATTCTTTATATTTATATCCATGCTCATGTGAGATATTAGTTTATAATATTAATTTAATATCTATATCTCATTTATATTTCAGGGTGATGTTGGCCTCATATAACTCAACTTTATAGAATTCTCTGTGAAGTATTATTTCTTCTTTAAATCTTTGGTAGAAATCATCAGTGAAGCCATCTGAGTCTTGACTTTTATTTGTGGAAATTTGATAAATTTGTGTTTAACCTCAAATTTAATTTACTTAATAGGTATATGGATATTTGAGTCATCTATTTCTTATCAAGTAAGTGTTGGAAGTTTATATCTTTCAAAAACATGCATTTCTTTTAAAATCAAATATATTAGCATAAAGTTGTTCATAATATTAACTTATTTTTTTCCTAATATCTGTAGGAGCAGTATTGATGTCCCCTCTTTCATTCTTGACATTGGTAATTTATATCTTCTGTAGCCTTTTTGCCTGATCCTTGCCACTAGAGTTTTATCAATTTTATTAACTTTATTTAAAAAAACAGCTTATGGTGTAATTAAATTTCTGTATTCTTTCTCTTCTTCTGCTTTTTTGTAACTTGCTCTTTTTTAAAAATTATTACAGTGGAAGATGACATTGATTCAAGGTCTTCTTTCTTTTTCAATATAAACATTTAGTGCTATCAATTTTCTCTTAAGAACTGCCTTACATACCTTAAAACACAACTTTTGACATCTGTATTTTTATTTTGTTATCTTCAAAATGCTGTCTAATTTTTTTTCTTGATTTTTCCTTTGGCCTATCAGTTATTTGAAAGTATGCAGTTTAGTTTCAAGGGATTACAGCATTTCAAGGTATCTTTATATTTTTTGATCTCCATTTTAATAATATTGCTTTCAAAGAATATACTTTGTATATTATTCAACCCTTAAAATGAATTTACACTTGTTCGTAGCTCAGAGTGTGATAAGTGCACCTGAAAATACTGAATATTGTACTACTTTTCAGTAAAATGTTTTATAAATGTAATTTAGGTCAAGTTCAAGTGTTTCATACATAGAGTTTCTGTCTAACATTCTATTAATTATTGAGAGTGAAGTGCTGAAACATCCAATCTTTAAGAATTTGCCTAATTTTGTTTTTCACATGTCAGTTTTTGTTCCATTTATTTTGAAATACTTTTATTAGGTACCTGATTATTTAGAAATTTTGTTTATACTTGTTTCAGTCAGTTTGGGATGCTATAACAAATATACCATAGACTGTGTGGCTTAAAAAAAAAACAAGTATTTATTTCTCATAATTCTGGAGACTGGGATACCTAATACTAAGGTTTAGTTTCGAGAGATTCGAGTATTTCCAGAAATCTTTATATTTTTTGATTTCCACTTTAATAACATTGTTGTCAAATTACATACTTTGTGTAACATACACCTCTAAAATGAATTTACACTTGTTTGTAGCCCAGAGTGTGAACTACCTTAGTATATTAGTGCACATGAAAATACTGAATATTGTACAGCCTGTAAATCTACATTATAGACTGTGTGGCTTAAACAACAAGTATTTACTTCTCATAATTGTGAAGACTGGGATGCTCAATATCAAGGTGCCCAGAGACCTGCTGTCTGGTGAAAACTCACTTCCTAATTTGCAGTTGGCTGTTTTCTTTTTGCCTCATCAAATGACAGACAGCAGAGAGAAAGAGAAGGAGAGCAGTTTTCAACATATTAATTTTAGGAGAATACAAACATGTAGTCAATAAAATTCTTCTCCTAGCTCACCAAATACATGTTTTTCTCAAATGCAAAATACAATCATTTTATCCCAATAGCCCTGAAACACTTAACTCTTTCCATCAACAACTCTAAAATACAAAGGCCAAAGTCTCATCTAAATATTATGTAAATCAGTTATAGGTGAGATTTGAGGTAAAACTTATCTAAAAGTTAAATTGCTTTATAGCTGTGAATCTGTGAAAACAAACAAGTTATGTGCTTCCAAAATACAGGAGTGTGAAAGGCATAAGATAGATATTCCCATTCCAAAAGGGAGAAATAAAAAAGAAGAAAGGAATGACGGGTCTCAAGCAAGTCCCAAACATACACAGTCAAACTCTACCAAGTCTTATCTGAGAATAGTTTTATTTCTCCTGATGCTCTGCCTTCTAGACCCACTGGGGGAATGGTCCTACCTGCATCGTTTTAAAGGGTAGGTGTCCTGCACCTGCAGATCTCAGTGGCACTGGTGCTACCTTTTGAAACTCAGGTGGAGACAGCCTCATGATCTAACTACCTCCCAAAGACCTAAACTCTTAATACCATCATATTGTGAGTTAGTATTTCAACATATGATTTTGGGGGAACACAGCCATTCAGTCCATAATCGTTGTCTTATTGAATTGACACTGTTATGATTCTTAAATGACATCTTTATCTCAGGTTATATTTGTTCTAAAATTTACTTCTGAGTACTGGATTAGAAACATTTGCATGAGTTCTGATGAACCTAAACACTCTGAATTCCGAAGTCCCATCAAACCTCCTCCAGCAGAAACAGCAGGTAACAATCTCATTTAAGAAAGATTAGATGCCAGAATTTTTCTGGAGGTTTTAAAGGAACAGATACATTGATGTTCCTTATTCCTGAGTGTTTATTGGTTTGTTCACTGATGAGAGTCCCTGGGAATGCTCAAGAGCACTGGGAACCATAATCTCCCTGAGTTCTTTATGAGAACTCAGAGGAGTTGATAGCATTGACGTCTCTGCAAAGATTCCCTTTTGGTCATCCTCAGAGGAGTCCCTAAAGTGTAAGTTTCTTCTGGCAGAGAGTGGGTCTTCAATGCAGGTGAATATGTTATGACAACAAAATGTACCGAATGTCCACTCTGTGCAAAGCACAGTGCTACAAAGTACAATTGATTAAAGATGCCTGTTTTACAGAGTCCAGTCTTCATAGACTCTATGAATAAGCTCAACTGTACTCATTAATAAGATTTAATGCAAGGCAGAATGAGGAAAGACCTTGAATGGGGGCTCAGGTAGGAAGAGGAGTGGGATCGATTCTAACTGACTATCATGGAGAAAGTTTCCCATGAATGCTCTATTTGATCTTAATCTGAAAAATGTATTTAAAATTTTTGGGTTCAGTGAGAAAGGCCAGAGCAACTTGATCAAAATCCCGAATGAAGGACATTATTTCATGGGTGTTTACAAAAACTGCTTTATTTTGAGAGCTAACTTTCTTGGGCTATATGGTTGAAATTATCCTGGGAAGCTCTATTATGACGACATTGTGGGGAGCCATTTTCAGAACACAATTGTCTATTCTTTCTTTACAGGAGTATTAACAAGCAGCTTAATATGCCCTAATGAGCCAACAACAAAATAAATTATATATATATATATAAATGTTAACATGTATGATTATATATAATAATTAAATCATGTAAAAAAATAATAAAATTTACTTTGTGTGATCTTAATATAAACAATCAAGTGCACCTTTTAGGAACAGCAAAGAAGAGCTTTTCCCTCTTTTTCCTCTTAATCTATTGGCATTTTTATACTTAAGGTGGACTTTTCATAGATAGCATACAGCTGAAGCTTACTTTGTTTCAGCTTTTAAGTTCAGGGCTACATGTGCAGGTTTGTTACATAGGTAAACTTGGGGTTTGTTGTACAGAATATTCATGGGGGTTTGTTGTACAGATTATTTCATCACCCAGGAATTAAGCCTAGTACCCATTAGTTATTTTTTCTGATGATAAGATAATCTCTGCCTTACAATTAGATTGTTCAGACTATTTCCATTTGATATGATTGTTGATCAGCTTGGGTTTAAACTCTCCATCCTGCGAGCTGTATTACCTTTGTCTCATCCATTGTTTCCCTTTATTGTTTGCCTTCTTTTGATGTGATTACAGATTTTTATTCCATTTTTTCTTTGATTCATTATATTTGCCCATTCATTGTTTTATTTTAGTGGTTGCTTTAGTGTTTAGAGTATAGATTTTTATATCTTCATGTTCCATGTACATAGGTTACAAACCCCAACTACATTATTATTATTTTTGTCTATAAACCTCAAAACATAAAAGATATTGGAATAAAAATCTATTTTATATAACTACCATTATTATTGCCTTTTATTCCTTTGGAGGAAAACCAGATTTCCATTTGCTATCTTTTTTTTTGTGAGTTACTTTCTTTAAAATATCTTATATTGTAGAACTGCTAGTGATGGATTATTTCAACTTTCGTATTATTTTTTGAGACAGGGTCTCACTTTCTTATCCGGGCTGGAGGGCAGTGGAGTGACCTCAGCTCACTGCAGCGTCAACCTCCTAGGGTGAAGCAATCCTCCCATTTCAGCCTCCCGAGTAACTGGGATAACAGGCACCTGTCATCACGCATGGCTAATTTTTGTATTTTTTGAAGAGCTGGGGCTTCACTATGTTGCCCAGGCTGGTCTTGAACTCTTGGGCTCAAGGAATCCACCCACCTTGGCCACCCAAAGTGCTGAGATTACAGGTGTGAGCCACTGGTCATTCTCTGTATGTAATATTTATTTTGATTAGAGTTGTTCTCACATTTTTCTGGTTTTCACTCATTTTAAGCAGTTTGATTATAAGTATTATGTAGCAATCTTCATATTTATCATTGGGATTCCTTGGACTTATTGGAATTGTAGGTTATTAATTTTCATCAAATTTGAAACATTTTCAGATATTATTTTATGAAATTTTTCTGTCTTTTTCACTTCATTCTGTCATCCAGTTACTGTGCTGTGGCATTTTTATGTTGATTCAGAACTTATTGACGCTCTGTCGTTGTATATTTTAGAAAATCTTATCGAGGTATAACTATCATACCATAAAATGTGTACTTTTTATGCGTATAATTTAAAATTTTGGTGAAATTAACAGAGTTGTGAAACTGTTATCACAATCCAAATTTAGACCATTTCTTTCACATTCAAAAGATCCCTCATTCACATTTGTAGTCACTTCCCACTATCAACCCTAGCACCAAACAACAAACAATCTACTTTGTGTCTCCATAGGTTTTCCTTTTCTGGATATTTTATATAAGTGAAATTTTATAATATTTAAAATGCCTGGCTTTTACACTTAGCATAACATTTTTGAAGTTATCTACATATTGTAGCATGTATTAGTATTTTCCTCCGATGTTGAGTAATATTCCATTGTATAAATATGCCAGGTTTGTGTAGCCATTCATCAATTTATGGACTTCTGGATTGTCTCCACTTTTTGTCTATTATAAACGGGTTGCTATAGGGTTGGGCGCAGTGGCTCACACCTGTAATCCCAGCATTTCAGGAGGCCGAGGTGGGTGTATCAGTTGAGGCCAAGAGTTTGAGACCAGCCTGGTCAACATGGTGAAACACCGTCTCTACTAAAAAAAAAAAAAAAAAAAAAAAAAAAATTAGCCAGGCATGGTGGCGGCAGCCTGTACTCCCAGCTACTAGGGAGGTTGAGGCAGGAGAATTGCTTGAACCTGGGAGGTGGAGGTTGCAGTGGAGTGGACTTGTTTTGTCATATGATAAACATATTTTTAAACATCTTAAAAACTGTCAAATCATTTTCTTAAGTGGCTACAGCATTTTATACTCCCAACAGCAGTGTATGGGGCTCTAATTTGTAAAAATCTCATTGATACTTGTTATTGCCTTTCTTTTCTATTTTAGTAACCTAGTGGGTGTGAGGTAATATTTCCTGTAATTTTGACTTGCGTTTTCCTTAAGACTAATGTCATTGAACATCTTTGCATGTACTTGTGATATTATATACAGTCATCCCTCAGAATCCATGGGGGATTTGTGTCAGGACCCCCACAGATAACAAAATTTAAATATACTCAAGTCCTCAGTGTAAAATGGCACAGTATTTACATATAACCTATATACATCTTCTATACTTAAATGATCTTTAGCTTATTCATGACACATAATACAATGTAAATGTTTGTAAATCTTTTTTACTGTATTGTTTTTTACTTATATTAATTTTTATTTTAGGTTCAGGGGTATATGTATAGGTTTCTTATATAGGTAAATTTCGTGTCTCGGTGCTTTGGTGTACCGATTATTTCATCAATCAGGTAATAAGCATAGTACCGATAGGTAGTTTTTTGATCCTCACTCTTCTTCCACCCTCACCTTCAAGTAGGCCCTGGTGAGTGTCATTTCCTTCTTCGTGTCCATACTTACTCAATGTTTAGCTCCCATTTATAAGTGAGAACATGAAGTATTTGGTTTTCTGTTGCTGTGCTAGTTTGCTTAGGATAATGACCTCCAGCTCCATCCATGTTGCACAAAGGACATGATCTCATTCTTTTGATGGCTGTATAGTATTCCATGGTGTATATGTACCATATTTTCTTTATCCTGTCTACCATTGTTGGGCATTTAGGTTGATTCCATGTCTTTGCTATTGTGAATACAGCTTTGATGAACATACAAGTGTGTGTCTTTATGATAGAATGATTTATATTCTTTTGGCTATATACCCAATAATGGAATTGCTGGGTCAAACAGTAATTCTATTTTAAATTCTTTGAGAAATTGCTAAACTGCTTTCCACAATAGCTAAACCAATTTACATTCCCACCACCAGTTTATAAGGATTCCCCCTTTCTCTGCAAACTCACCAGCATCCGTTATTTTCAAATTTTTTACTAATAGTCTGACTGGAGTGAGAAACCTATCTCATCGCAGTTTTGATATCGATTTCTCTAACGATTAGTGATGTTGAGCATTTTTTCACATGCTTGTTGGCCCTACATATGTCTTCTTTTGACAAGTGTCTGTTCATGTCTTTTGCCCACTTTTTAATGGGGTTGTTTGTTTTCTCTTTGTAAATTTATGTTCCTTATAGATTCTGAATATTACACCATTGTCTAATGCAAGTTTGCAAATATTTCCTCCTATTCCTTAGGTTGTCTCTTTATTCTGTTGCTAGTTTCTTCTGTGCAGAAGCTCGTTAGTTTAATTAGGTCACATATGTCGATTTTTGTTTTTGTTGCAATTGCTTTTGGTGACTTGTCATGAAATCTTTGGTCCTCTGTCCAGAATGGTATCTCCTACATTATCTTCCAAGGTTTTCAGAGTTTTAGGTTTTTCATTTAAGTCATTAATCCTTCTTGGGTTGAATTTTGTATATGATATAAGGAAGGGGTCCAGTTTCAATCTTTTGCACATCACTAGCCTGTTATCCTAGCCCCATTTATTGAATAGGATGTTCTTTCTCCATCACTTGCTTTTGTCAGCTTGTTGAAGATCAGATAGCTGTAGGCTTGTGGCCTTTTTTCTGGGCTCCCTGTTCTGTTCCAGTGGACTACATGTCTGTTTTGGTACCAGTACTATGCTGTTTTAGTTAAGGTGGCTTTGTATTACGGTATAGTTTGAAATTGGGTAACATGATGCCTCTAGCTTTGTTCTTTTTGATTAGGTATACCTTGGGTAGTTGGGCTCTTTTTTGGTCCCACATAAATTTTAAAATAGTTTATTTTCTAATTCTGTGAAGAATGTCATTGGTAATTTGATTGGAATAGCATTAAATCTATAAATTGCTTTGTATAGTATGGCCATTTTAACAATATTGATTCTTCTAATCCATGAGCATGAAATACGTTATCATTTGCGTCATCTCTGATTTCTTTGAGGAATGTTTTGTAATTCTTGTTGTAGAGATCTTTCACCTCTATTGATAGTTGTATTCCTATATATTTTCCTCTTTGCGTGGCTATTGTGAATGGGATTGTGTTCTCGATTTGGTTTCAGCTTGGATATTGTTGGTGTATAGGAATGTTACTGAGTTTTGTACATTCATTTAGTATCCTGAAACTTTGCTGAAGTTGTTTATCAGCTGGAGGAGCTTTGGGGCTGAGACTATAGATTTTTCGAGATGTAGAATTATACAATATGCAGAAAATGATAGTTTGATTTCTGCTCTTCCTGCTTGAATGCCCTTCATTTCTTCTCTTGCCTGATCGCTCTGGCCAGGACTTCTAGTACTGTGTTGAATAGGAGTGCTGAGAGTAGGTATCTTTGTCTTGTTGTGGTTTTCAAGGGAAATGCTTCCAGCTTTTGCACATCTAGTATGATGCTGGCTGTGAGTTTGTCATAAATGGCTCTTACTATTTTGAAGCATGTTCCTTTAATGCCTAGTTTATTGAGAGTTCTTAAAATGAAGAGACATTGAAATTATCAAAAGCCTTTTCTGCATCAGTTGAAATAATCATGTGTTTTTGGCTTTTAGTTCTGTTTATGTGATGAATCACATTTATTATTTTGCATATATTGAAGCTACTTTGCATCCCAGGGATAAAACCTACTTGATCATGGGAGATTAGATTTTTGAGGTACCGCTGGATTTGATTTGCTAATATTTTGTTGAGGATTTTGGCATCTATGATCATCAAGGATATTGGCCTGAAGTTTTGTTGTTTTTGTTGTATGTCTGATAGGTTTGGGTATCAGGATAATGGTGGCCTCATAGAATAAATTAGAGAGTTCTTCCTCCTCCATTTTTTTGGAATAGGTTCAGTAAGAATAGTACCAGCTCTTAAAATGGCCATTTCATTTTTATCTTCTGAATCATATTAGTTTGTTCCTTAGAATCATTGGATTAGGTTTCAACTTTCTCTTGAATGTCAATAAATGTCATTCTTATCCATAATCTGAATTCAATTTCCGGCATGTTAGCCATTTCAACCTGGTTGAGAACTACTGCTGAGGAATTAGTGTGGTCATCTAGAGGTAAGAAGACACTCTGGCTTTTTGAGTTGCCAGAGTTCCTGTGCTGGTTCTTTCTCATCTTTATGGGTGATGTTCTTTCAATATTTGAATGTGCTGTCTTTTGGATTTTTTTTTCTTTTATTTTGTTTGATGTCTTTGGGAGTTTGATTGTGTTGTAAGGTGAATTCAGTAGACTAGCTTTCTTTCTTATAGATTATGGAGGGGCCAAGACTCAGCTCCGCACTCCTGGGCTGTGGACTCTAACTCTTGGGGACTGGTAACAGGCCCCCAGCTTTGTTCTCCGTCCCCTCGAATTTGGGAAGCTGCTGTGCCTGCTGTGTTGGAGGGGTTGAGGTATTCCTGGATTGCTGACTGCAGCACTCCAAAGTGAGCTGCCAGCAAAAGTGCTTCATTGGGTGGTGGCAGCAGGACTTATGCTCATTTGCTCATGCTCCTTCTCTCATCTCAGCAGCAGCACCAGCACGGCGAGTGCACAGGACCCTGGGAGAGGCCAGCATACAGAGGGGCCCTCAGGTCAGACTGGTCCTATCTCACGGGCAAAATTGCCCTGTTAAAGTCTGAAAGTTCCCTTAAGGCTAGAGTCTCATACGGGGGAGAAAAGCAGCCTTCGAGGATGGGCATCTCTGTCCATGCTCCTCTGCAGACATTTTTGCCCCAAATCCTCTGGGCTCCACATGGGCTGAAGTCCTGCTCCTACCAACTCTCTAAGCAGTTCTCTCTCCAGGCTCAAGTGTTGGGTTTCATGGGGTCTCTTGCTACCAGGATTCCAGAGGTCAATGGAGAGAGCAGGTCACTCCTCACCTGCTCAATTCACCTTTTTCCCAGGAGTACCTGGGGGCCAGGAATGAGTCCTAGAGTGTGGTAGCCTCATACAGGGTTCTCAGCTTCCTCCCAGTTCAGCCCAGCATCTGTACCTTTTCTCTGTCAACCCTCAATGCCTTCTTTATGAACATATGCTAGGAATGCACTAGTCTTCTTAGTGTCCCAGTACTATGGTGGCAGATGTCCAACTAACTGCGACTAGTTGGACACCTTGTCTCAAATCTCATTGTATTATTATTATTACTATTTTTAAAATTTTGATCCATGGTTGGTTGAATACATGGGTGTGGAACCCATGGCCCAACTGTATGTTCTTTGAGGAAATCCCTATTTACATCTTTTATTTTCTTGTCTTCATATTTTTGTGGTAGAGGTTTTTTATAAAAAATATATAAGCTGTATAAAATTTCTCATTTGATATATTTCCAAATACATTCTCTTATTCCTCGGTTTGCCTTTTTACTTTCTCAATGCTACATTTTGAAGTGCAAAAGTATGACGTTTGATGAAGTCTTATTAATATTGAAATCACTTATGCTTTTGTTATTTCTAAACAAAAAATTATAACAACCCAAGATCATAGCAATATTTTCTTTTGTTTTGTTCTAAGAGCTTTAAAACTTAAATCTTATATTTTTGTCTATGATTCATTTATAGTTAAATTCTATGTATGGTGTAAGGTAAAAGTGCAAATTTACTTTTTAACTTGTGAATATGCAATTGTCCCAGCACCTATTTTAAAGTATTTTATTTCCCTTATTAAATACCTTAGCCCTTTTGTCAGAAATCAATTTCTCATAGATGTAAAGGTTTACCTCTTTACTTCAATATCATTGGACTGCAATTTCAAGAATTTATTTCAATTTCTGGACTGCCATATTAATATGTATATACATATATATTTTTTATGTCATAGTTAAGTTTTGAAATCAGGAAGTATATGACCTAAACCTTTGTTCTTCTCATTTGTCTACTTCTGGTTCCTTTTTTTTTTTTTTTCTTTAAAAATCTTAAGATTGGCCAGGTGTGGTGACTCAAGCCTGTAATCCCAGCACTTTGGGAGGGTGAGGCAGACGGATTACTTGAGGCCAGGATTTTGACACTTGCCTAGCTAACTTGGCAAAACCCCATCTCTACTAAAAATACAAAAATTAGCTGAGTGTGGTGTAATCCCAGGTACTTGGGAGTCTGTGGCACAAGAATCGCTTAAACCCAGGAGGCAGAGGTTGCAGTGAGCCAAGATTGCTCCACTGTACTCCAGCCTGGGTGACAGAGTGAGACTCTGTCTCAAAAATTAAAATTAAAATTAAAAAAAAAAATCTTAAGATCATCTTTTCTATTTCTGATGGTGCATTGGATTAACTTGGGGAGAATTTCCACTACAATAATAATCAGTCTTCCAACATGAAAATCTGATGGTGCATTGGATTAACTTGGGGAGAATTTCCACTGCAATAATAATTAGTCTTCCAACATGACAATCTGATGTGACTTCATATTAGGTTTTTTTTAAAGTATTTTAGTAATATTTTGTAGTTTCTAGCATATATAATTTCACTTATTTTGTTAAGTTTATTCCTCAGTATTTTATTCTTTCTGATGTTCTATTGTTAATGGAATTATTTTCTTAATTTTATTTACATATTTTATCATTATTATATAAATATACAATATATATGTTGACATTTTATTTTCTGACCTTGGTTAACTTCTTTGTTCTAGTAAACTCGTCATTATGTATAATACCAGTTATACATTGCTGAATTTGGTTTAGTAATATTTTGTTGATGATTTTTACATCTACATTCATGTGATATATGGATGTATCTTTAAATATTCTTGAGATTTCTTTTTCCTGGCTTTGGTGTCAGAGTAATACTCTCCTAGAAAATGAGTATTTGTTCATTTCTTATAGATGTTGTTTAATACATATTTTGTTTTGAATAGTTTCTATTACTATGTCTTTAAATTTATTATTTTCTTTGACAGTGTCTAATCTGTTTTAAATCTCACCTGGTAGATTTTTTTTAAATCTCAGACACTGTAATTGGCATCACTAGAAGTTTGATTTCAGTCATTTTTACATCTTCAATGTTTCTACTTAACACGCTCATGTTACTATACCTTCTTGAACATATGGTAAATTATAATAATTTTGATATTCTTGCCTACTAATTCCATCATCTAAATCTTTTCTGTGTCTGCTTTTTTTTTCTATCCTTTGTGGGTCATATTTTCTTTTTTTTTCATGCCTAGTAATTTCTTTATTGGATGGCAGATACTATGAGTTCTACCTTGTTGGGTGCTGAGTAGTTTTGTATACTTATAAATGTATTTTGATGTTACTTGGGCATAATAAGTTACTTGGAAATAGGTTAATCCTTTGAAACTTGCATATTAATTTTGTTAGGCAAGATAAAGGCAGGCTTTCATCAGAAGCTAATTTTCCTCAAATACCAAGGCAATAACTTTCTGAATACTTACTTACCTGATGTCTTGTAAAATTATGAGGAGTTGTTTCCCCAGTTACTGGTAAAATTGCAAATCATTTCCAGTCTTTGTGAAAACTGGGGATTGTACCAGCTTCTTCTTTCATGTTTTTTGTTCCCCCAAATGTGTATAATTTCCTCTTATGCATATCCAAATGGCCATTTAACTGAGGACTGGATGAGAAGCTGTGCAGATCTCTCTGCATCTCTCTCCTTCTGTTATTATCACATGCAAACTATAGCCATCTGGGACTGCCAATACCATCTCCCCATCTCCTCAACTCAAGGATATTGTCAGGCTCCTTCAGATTCCCCCATTGCGCTGTGCCAACTGGAGACTCTCACCAGACAGTAAACACGGACACAAATGGTGCTTGCTCACCTTGAGCTTTTCTCCTCTGTTGGGTCACTTTGTACACTGAAAGACATCCAAAGTCTGTGCACTAGTGCTTCTATTTTCTTTAGTTTTTTTTTTTTTTTTGAGACTGAGTTTCCCTGTCACCCAGGCTGGAGTGCAGTGGAGCAATCTTGGCTCACTGCAGCCTCCATGTCCCAGGTTCAAACAAGTCTCACATCTCAACCTCCCAAGCAGTTGGTATTACAGGTGTGTGCCACCACGCCTGGCTATATTTTGTATTTTTAGTAGAGATGGGGTTTCACCATGTTGGCCAGGTTCCTCTTGAACTCCTGGCCTCAAGTTATTTACCTTTCTTGGCCTCCCAAAATGCTGGGATTAATGGTGTGAGCCACTGCACTCAGCATTTAGCAAACTCTTATATTCATCCTGTTCCTGCCAATGTATAGAAAAACACTGAAGAATAAAAAAATATATATTTTCCTTTAAAAATTTAAGGCAGTAATATTTATTCCAGTCTACCTATAAATAGAAATGCATAAGAGATTATAGGCAACTTGCTGAAGGCTCCCAGTGTTATTGGTGACAGAGACAAGATATTAATTCAGGACTCATTCTATTAACCCACCATTCTTTGAACTATTAATGAAATTTCCAAGAATCGAGTGAGTTTCAACTAACAAGACTTTCTGACAATATAATTTTAAATTTAAGTTGGTCTAAATTAAGTGCATTTATGGATGAAATTCCTGTAGGCTTTTATATTTTAATTTTCAAAATAAAATTTACCAACTCTCATGATGTTAAGACATTGAAAAATGACACTAAAATTGTTAACATAAGAAGCAATATATTTTGGGGAAAAATTAGAAAATTTTATTTTTCTTTCTGAATTACTAATATTAACATCAAAAAGTAAGAGGAGGAGTGAAGAAAAGAAGTAAAATAAGTGAAGGATTTGCTTTACAATGTACCAAATCAATACTCTGAAGTATTCAAATGCAAAAGGACATCAGAAATAACCATCATAAACATTGCTTTTAATTAGCAACAGGCACATAAATTGTGATGATTTATTGTATTGTATTTGTTTCCCAACCAAATATGTTATTATACATCTCATTCATCTTACTCATAATGGTTTAGCTTTGGGGGCATCAAAGAATTTACCTTATAAATTATTTGTTATAATAATTAGCTATTAGCTTATAGTAAAGTAAGTTCTAAGGATTAACAGATACATCTTTTGCAGCTGTTTTGAGCCCCAAATTTATTAGAATCAATGTCAAAAGACCAAGAAATGGAGATGAATAATCTGAGAGAAGAAGGTGGCTTCCGTAAGATCTAGAGGTCTTGTTAATATAATAACCATTTTTACAACTAAGACATAATGCCCCATGTTCCTGGAATAGAAACGAGCTCTAAGGGCAAATCAAGCCTAACTCAGGACCTAAGTTTGCAAATACACAGCTATATAGGATAACCTGTTTCAGCAGACCTGATTACTGTGTTATCCTCAGGTTCGTCTAGATTAAGACAAGATGTTCAGGAGGTTCTTAATCACATTAGAAAAATAAAAACATTTAATAATGTCCTCGTAGGTGCATAAGAAACCTCAACTAAAAGGATAATTTTATAATAATAAATTTCCCAATCCATGATCAATAAATCATGATCATATAAGGATTAAACCAAGTAGAATCCCCTCAAACAATGAACTTATTTGAGAACTTTGAAAAGTATCAAATTAAAAAATATCATGATCTATGTTTCATCCAAATAATGTGCTTTTGCCAGAACAACGACTACAGGGCTATCATATTGTAACATGAAGAGACACTTCATCATCTGTAAATGACTAAGAAACTATTTAAGGCACTTCTTGGCTAGAGATAAGATTTACTTCATGACAAGCCCTAAATGAATTATTTTTTTAAGCAGTCACATATTTAGCACAGTAAAGGCCAACTATAGTTATAGTCATTTTTCAACAAAGCCAATTAATTTTCTACTAAGAATGAATTAATTTATATTGTAAGTTTATTAGTAGAAGGGAGATTTCTTCAATATTTTCAAAACCCTGAACAATGAGGAACCCTCTCCTGCTTTCTTAGGAGGGACAAATAATGTGAAGTTTATTGAAAAACTTCATGTACAACAGCAGTCCCCAACCTTTTTGGCACCAGGGACTGGTTTCGTGGAAGGCAATTTTCGGGATGAAACTGTTCCTTCTACCTCAGATCATCAGGCATTAGTTAGATTCTTATAAGGAGCACCCAACCTAGATCCTTCACTTGTGCAGTTCACATAGGTTTCACTCTTAGATGCTGCCACTGATCTGACAGGAGGGAGATCCCAGCTGGTAATGTTTGCTCCCCGACCTCCTCACCTCCTGCTGTGCTGCCCAGTTCCTAATAGACCACTGATCAGAACCAGCAGTTGGGGACCCCTGACAAGATATAGTCACTGTTTTCCTAAGAGTGAGCTGACTTACAGTCTTTTTTTATACCCAAAGTGATTGACAGTCATGACATGCTATTATATATTTTCCTTTCTCATTTTGATTTCTGGGGTTAGTGGTAGACAAAAACAGCTCCTTCAATGTCCAGTAAAATTATTACAAAGCACCAAGCATGCACGATCTATGGTGACATAAAACAGAATATAAAAACTTTACAGATATGTTATGCTTTCTAATATGTCATATTAACTATCTCTTGGGGATGGACTAACCCAAGCTTTGTGGTACTATATCATTTAAGTTGCAGTTTATGTTTTCTTCTTAGCTGAACTTACATAAGATCATCTCATGGAAAATAGTCAAGAGCCTCGTACACCTGAGATATCAATGTCCTAGTTTCCTAGGCAAAGAAAAATTAATCTGTTATCAGTAAATAGTTATTTTACTATTTAAAGTATACACAGTAATTTATCATTGTCTTCTTAACAATTAAAATTATTCTGGTAGAACATATTTATAATGTCCCTATTCTAAAGATGAGTAAACCTCTGAGTCTTAAATGAATTTCCCAAGATCATGCAACCAATAGGCAAATAATTTTATTTTTTAATTTTATTTTATTCGTATAAGTTTGCAGGGTCCAATCGTAATGTGGTTACATTGATATATTGTATAGTGGTGAAGTCAGGTCTTTTAATGTATCCATCACTAGAATAACATACATTATACCCATTAAATAATGTCTCATCTTAAGGCTCTATGCCCCATCTCCTATTTACAAAATCTAATAGTTGTACACTATTTGGTACAATTTAATGTGCGAAGATGGATTGTGAATTGAGTAACAGTCATCTTTTATTTTTTAACAACGTGGAGTATCATGTATATACACTACGAATAAAAGTATCAACTGTTTATTACACAGCATACATCTTCATCATGTTAATTTCTTCCTTTTTTTTTGAGATGGAGTCTTGCTTTGTCGCCCAGGCTGGAGTGCAATGGCTCGATCTCAGCTCACTGCTACAACCTCTGCCTCCCAGGTTCAAGTGATTCTCCTGCCTCAGCCTCCTGAGTAGCTGGGATTACAGGCACCTGCCACCATGCCAAGCAAATTTTTGTATTTTTTTTATCTTTCTTTTCTTTCTTTTTTTTTTTTAAATTATACTTTAAGTTCTAGGGTATTTTTAGTAGAGACAGGGTTTCACCAGGTTGGCCAGACTGGTCTCGAACTCCTGACCTCAGGTGATCCACCCACCTCAGCCTCTAAAAGTGCTGGGATTACAGGCGTGAGCCACCGCTCCTGGCCCATCATATTAATTTCTATGACATTACAAACAAAACTTTTAAACTAGGACATTTGAGATTATGGTCATAGTTTTATATTGTTTCCAAAAAGAAACTGAGTAGCATATCCACAGCAAATTTATTACCTTTCTTTTTTCTTTTTTTCTGCAAAGATCAAACCTGGGACTAATTATGCCCAGTTAGAATTACTTTTTGGCCATGCAGCTTTTTAAAAAACGAAACATAACAATTTACTTCTAATTACTAGTTTTTCTTAGAATTATGAACTAATTTTCTTTTAACATATAAAACATTTTAAAAGCTGGTTTTGGTATTTTCCCTTTTTCAATAGTTACTTGGAAAGAGTGTGGAGATAGAAAAAAGACTGTACAAATGGAGAGAAGACAACAGAGGATGAGATGAAACTACAGAAAGGGAGAAATGTCAGATTGCATAAGTTTAATGAAGGGCTTTAAGTAATTGGAACACTGCTCTTTTTAAAAAAAGTAGCTTGAATGATAGAAAACATTTTATTCATTTATTCATTCATTCATTTGAGGTCTATTTATTATATCTTCCTCAGACAGCTGACTCTGCTGTGGAGATAGAGGAGTGGATGGAAAAGATGGTGAAAATTTTAGTTGAGGTTTTCATGCTACATTTTTTTTTAATTTTATGTATTTTTATTTTATTTTTGAGACAGAGTCTCACTCCGTCACCCAGGCTGGAGTGCAGTGGCGTGATCTTGGCTCTCACTGCAAACTCTACCTCTCAGGTTCAAAGGATTACCTTGCCTCAGCCTCTCCAGGAGCTGGGATTACAGGCCTGCGCCACCACACCCGGCAAATTTTTGTATTTTTTCGTAGAGACGGGGTTTCACCATCTTGGCCAGGATGGTGTTAAACTACTGGGCTCAAGCAATCCGCCAGCCTCGCCCTCTCAAAGTGCTGGGATTACAGGCGTGAGCCACCGCACCAAGCCTCATGCTAAATTTAGAACGTCTTCTGAATACTTATGATGTGTGCAAAAGCTTACTTGTATATTCACCTCTTTGTTCTAAAGCAAGTCTGAAAATAGTTGTATCAAAGCTCAAAAATAAATTTATCTTTTTAAGCCATTATTGTATAGTAGAAAATAATGAATTGTTCACCCCCAAAATGGACTCTTCCTTTTATTTTTTAACTTATTGGCTATTAATAACATTAACATTAACAGAAATTTCTTCAAGTATTGTATTAGTTTAGAAAATATTACTATTGCTCCAGAGTAGCATCATTTAAATGTTAAGCAATTGACACACTCTAGAATTATTGTCACAGATGGCATGATAGCATTTAGGCCTAATAAAGTTGTGAGCATATATCCTTTAAAGGATATGACTATGTCACTACAGATCAGTCACTTGGAAGTTACAAGTGCCATCGTCTAACTCCCTGATTATTTAATTATTGAAATAATGCTAACAACTTATTGTTCTTTCACTATACTCTAGGGCCTTTTCAAGTATGCAGAAAGTGTTTAGAGATGCGTATGCATCAGGTTTGTGTCAACCCATCATGAGCTACCGGTTTTGTTAGATATTTAAGGGAAGATATTTTCAGAAAAATATCCTGGCATATGGTATAACTACTGAATCCATCATAATGCCACTTTTCATATTGTTTTATGGGCAGTGAAACAAGGCACATTTTGACTACAGGGAGCAATAATTCACGGAGGGTTCTGTTTTTAACTTAGACTACACACTAAATTATGAAGGCACATTGTTTCTTGGTGTATGCTGAAATCTATGGCATGAACGTATTTCTCTGTAAATGTCCTTTCAACTGAAAGATGTTATACAAAACTCAGAGGGGTTCTTGTCAAGGTGTGGGCGGGGGAAGGGTGATAAATCATTTACATGGAATTCTGACTGATGTTGTTTTAAAGAGTTATAGAAAATATTTTAACCTAGATTCAATAAATGTGCCAATGAAAATAAATACAATTGGCGCAGGTAGAGCACAGACAGCTTACATGGCATAAATTTAGAGTCTCTAAGATGTTCTTTTATCTGCCTTCATCCTTCCCACCCTGTGCATTCATGTCCAACATTTTTAATTGAGCACCGATATCTTTTACTTCTCAAAAAGTTAAAAGACATAAAATGCTAACACTCTCAGCAAAGGCAAATTTGCACTTAATTTCACACTACTCTGTAAACGTATGATAGCATATCATATCCTAACGGATTGCTGGTGAGGCTTTACCTGTAAAATCTAAACACTGATAAGTCTATACCAAGAAGTGGCCAATGTTACTAAAAGGTTCACTGATCATCCCACTTTGCATTTAGATTATCAGAAGAAGTGAATAGAAGTATCACTTTTTTTTATGAAGGCAGGCAGAAAGAAAAAAATAGTTTAGAGCTTCAATTTTATTCCTTCATGATTTTTCCAATGCCTTCTTCAAACAAGTTCCTTTTTACTCAATTATATTCTTCAATAATCGGTTTAAGTGACATCGATAATGGAATAAGAATTTATAATATGGAATCACTTTGGAAAAATTTCTGGTTTCTCCACTTTCCATTAAGCAAATACAATAACCTGATCCTTGCCAAGTTATACTTCCTTGATTCGTTGCCTCAAATTGAAATAACTTAAGCTGTTTGAAAATATTCTGCATTGGTCAGAAAGCCTCATACCACACATTCTCACTTACAAGTGTGTGCTAAAAACTGCATACTCATGGACATAAAGATGGCAACAATAGACACGGGAACTACTGGAATGAAGGAGGGAAGGAGCAGGGAAAAGGTTAAAAAACTAACTATTGGGTACTATGCTTACTACCTGGGTGATGGAATCAATAATACTCCAAACCTCAGCAGCATCAGGAATTATATGTAGGTAGCAAACCTGCCCATGTATCACCTGTGCATGAGCAGCTTTTAATTTCAAAATAAAATTTGAAATTAAAAAATAAAACCTCATACAAACATATTTTGAAAACAGTTAAGTGAATATATTAAAATCTTGAAAATCATGTTTGTGTACTTAAGATCAGTGCATGAAACAAAACAAAAATATATATTCTGCATCAATAAGATATAAAGCATATATCTTGAACTTCAGAGGAAAACCTTCAGAGCAGTAAGAAAAAAGCAAACCCTAAAACCTAATACTTTTCAAATAAATAATTAAAACCTAAGCTTACACTAAAACATCTGCCCTGGAAAACCTGAATATATACCTCAGCCTGTGTTGTTAATCTTGAACCAATAGATAGAGACTCTTGAAGGGAAACAACCTAATCACAATCATTTGTTTGAAGGAAAATAAATTATAGAAGAACCACACATATATTAGTCATCCTAATAGGTGTAGAGGAATTTCATTGTGGTTTCAATTTCTATTTTATTAATGATCAGTTACGTACAGCATTTTTGCCAATGTCTTATTTGCCATCATATCATTGGTAAAGTATCTTGATAATTTTCCTACTTTAACTGGTTTACTTGCTTATTAAATTTTACAGCTTTTCACATATGTTGGACACAAGTCCTTCAGCAAATATATGTTTGCAAATGTTTTCTCCCAGTTTGTGGCTTGTCTTTTTATTTTTTAATGTGGGTCTTTCAAAGATCAGAAGTGTGTTTATTAATTTATTTAATGTAGCTATCTAATGGTTCTACCTCAATTTATTTAACAGACTGCTTTTTATCTACTGATATTTCTTTTCGGCTTGATAAAAATCGGTTATGTTTTGGATGGGATTTTGCTTGCCAGATGGTCTTTCTCAATGCTCCTCTTTGTCTTTCAACTTTCCACTCTCCCTGTATGCCTATGATTCACTTGTGATCTCTGTCTACACTCTTGTCCCTCCTTCAGTAGTTGACTGCTGCTCTTGTTAATTAGTGCTGGCATGTGTGTGTACACATGCATGCATGACAGGGAGTAGGGTCAGGTGTACTCACTGTCCCTGGTCCAACATCAATCTTAGACTGTCTCTACCTCTGCATCTTGAGATCATGTTCTCTGTGATGCTTCCCAGGGTCAAACTGCATAGTTTCTCTGGTGGATCTTTTTGGGAAGAGTTTTCTGTTCCTACCTCACCAGTAGGACCCTTTTCATGGTCTAAGCCCTTGGTAGTTTCATGTTCATTCCTATTCCCCCCATGCACCCCTATCTGCGTCCCTCAGGGTATGCTGCCCTTTCTTCACCTGTTTGAGAGGGACTTGGCCAAGTGTGGCACTTTGCCTTTCCCAAAGGGACACTACTCACCTTTCTTAGAACTTCTCCAACAAGAGAGGCTTTCCCTGCACCCCACACTGTGTACAAGCTTTCTCATGAACATCCAGCAAGGTTCATAGAGAAGATTAGAATCATGCCAACTTCCCATTTGTCTGTGGTTCCTATAGTGTTATGTAATCTCAAGGTTGACTACATATAGCTTTTAGTAATTTGTTACAATTTAACGGAATTCTCTTACCTGCTGTTACGTCACCTAGAATCTCTATCTCCCTTTTTCCTACCACATGTGAGCCAATTCTTGTATCCTACCTCCCCTCACAAGTGTCTGTCTTTCCTTAGATTCCAAGCAACTCTTTTTTTGTTGTTGTTAGGATGAGATCAAGGCTCTTTCCAGCTTTCTATGTCCTAGAAAAAAGTAGGTCATCTCCCAGACAGAAACATATCTCCTAATCCTTTAACATTTACACTAGTCCTAGACTTCTTCCCAGAGATACGGCTATCTGTGTGAGTCTTGTTCTTGAACCAATTTACAATAAAAAAGAATAGAAGAGGAACTGCCAACTGCCAATACTTATTTCCAGTATTTATTATTCTACCAATTCAGAGGGCAAAAGAATATGCATGAAATATCTTCTAGAGATGAAATATCTTCTAGATATCTAAGTCAATGATTTAGAGTCAATGAATTGGTTATGTGAATTTTTGACCAATCTAAATTATTTTTATCCTTTTTGATCTGGACATGGTAAATGTATTATATTACCCACAGTTCTCAATAAACACCATCTCAGATTCTTTTAAAATTTTAGCCATAAAAAGGCAAATCTAAAATACCATATAAAAAAAGTAATCAGTAAAATATTAACAGCTTTACGAAAACACTTCCAAAGGAAGAGTCAACCTTGAAGAAAAGTCACCCTTGAATAAGAACCACCTCCTTTTGTATATATTCATACTAATCTCTCCTATATTTAAGATTATATTATATATATGAACCTAGAACTGACAAGTAGTAATATTCTATCAGGAAATGTAATAAAATAAAAAATTTCTGAAATAAAAATACATCAGTGGCCTTTGTCTTATATTGGACATTATAGAAACAAGATTTGAATAAAAAAGTCTAATGAGACATTTCATAACAACTAAGAAAATGGGCATGTAAACAAAATAATGGGAGTGTTCAGAGATTGAAAGATGTAAATTCTATACAGTTTCTAGAAAAAAGAGGAAAATTCAATGGACAAAGCAATGCATAGGATCAAAATATAATACAAATTAACAAACCTTTTTAAGCTAAAGGAAGACGTGATTCTGAAATTTCAAAAGACAAGCCAGGCACTGAATAACATGAATATTCTGATGAATTCATTTATTTTTAATGATAAAAAAATCTATAAATATCTTAGTCAGAAAAGGGTTTGGAATGAAATGGAACTAGCATACAATGTTTCTAAAGGAAAAAATCATACTGAATCCAGTATTTTGCTATTTAAAAGATGTAAACATGATCATATTAAATTTATCTTACGAATCACTTTTATTTGACTGCATCGAAACTCAGGGCTAAATTTGTGATAGATCCTTAATAAGTATGTAGGACTTAATCAAATGTGCACTCACTTATTTTCTGATCATTTTGTAGTTCTGTCCCACTCTCTCCTGCCTTGGTGCTCTTTGCATTATTTTTCTAATATTATATTATTGTTGAAAGCTACATTTGGTTTTAATCATACAAAAATTTAAATATAGTAATAATTTAAAAATGGTCATGCATACCATAACAATAAATACCAGGCAATAATAGAGGAGAATCTATGTTTTGAAGATAACACAATAGGAATTGAGAACTCTGACAGTAAAAAAATATTTCTGTATATACATTTATGTGTGTATATATAGAGAGATGCAAATCAAAGACATATATTAAGTTTTTCAAGGGCTTTTAAAATAACCAATGTTCTCAGTTTGAAAAATTATTCATTAATAAACTCTAGTCATTGGGGAATGATACACTAGGGAAACATTTATAAATGAGACACTGTAGAAATAATATAATAATAAAGCATATACAAACTATACTTGCTATCTATAACTTCATAAAATTATCCCAACCAACAAAATGAATGGCATAAATTTGTCTATATTTTGTTAGTCAGAATCAAATCATTAAGTCTAGCCCTCATGAAAGAGGGAGGGAATTGAGGGTATGAACGCGAGGAGGTGGAGATCAATGGGACCACCTTAGAACCAACCACAAAATCTGATGCTGAGCTAGAATTTCACTATATGTAAAGTCTCCATAATATTACTAATATTATGATAAACAATAGGCAAATCAAAATAGTTATTAAATATGAAAGCATATTTTATAAAATAGTCATTTAGCAATAGGCATGATATAAATTTCATAATTATTTCTGTGGGGACTTGAGATAATGGGTTCTAAATGTTTTATTTTCTATGGAGGAATGACAGCAAATGGGTAGATAATTAATTTTATTAATTTCACTTCCAAAATTAGGTTACACATTTTTACTTTATATTTTACCATATTTTCTAAATGATTGTATTTACAATAAGAAATAATTGATATATAGTATAAAATACATAGCAATAGTGTATTTTAAATTAATTTATACAAATATTTTTACATATTTATAGGGTATAAGTGATATTTCATTACATGCATAGACTATAATGATCAAATGAGGGTATGTGGGGTATCTATCACCTCGAGTATTTATCATTTCTATGTGTTGGTGACATTTCAACTCCTTTCTTCTAGCTATTTTTAAATATACAATACATGAGGGTTAACTATAGTCATTACACTCTGCTATCAAACATTAGAACTTATTTCTTCTCTCTAACTTCACGTTTGTACTCATTAACCAACCTCTCTTCACACCCCGTTCCCCCACACACCTTGCATAGCCTCTGGTGTATTTCATTCCACTCTCTATTTCCATGAGATCAAATTTTTCAGCTCCCACATTCAAGTGAGAACGCATTTCTTATTAACTTGAAATAATGACCTGTAGTTCTATCTATGTTGCTGCAGATGGGATAATCTTATTCTGTTTTATGACCAAGCAGTATTCCATTGTGTAAATATACCATAAATGCTTTATCCATTTGTTCATTGATAGACACTTATATTGATTTCATATCTTTGCTGTTGTGAATGGTGCTGCCATAAACATGAAAGTGTAGATTATTTTTATATACTCATTGATTTTACTTTAGATAAGGAGAATTGCAGGACAGTATAGTCATTCTATTTTTAGTTCTTTTGAGAAACCTTCATACTGCTTTTCATAATGGGTGTAATAATTTACATTCTCACTAACACTGTAGAAAAGTTCCATTTTCTCTGCATCCTCACTGGCGTCTATTATTTTTTGTCTTTTTCATAATAGTCATTCTAACTGGGGTCAGATGATATCTCATTATGGTTTTGATTTGCGTTTCTCTTATGGTTAGTGAAAACGAGCACTTTTTCATATACCTTTTGTCATTTGTATGTCTTAAGAAATGGCTATTCATGTCTTTTACCCATTTTTGAATGGAATTATTTGTTTTTGTTTTCAATTTTACTATTCAGTTGTTTGAGTACCTTGTCTATTCTCAATATTAGTTTCTTGTCAGATGAATAGTTTAGAATATTTGTCTTCAATTCAACAGGTTTTCTCCATAAAATCTTTGCCCAGACAGATTCTGAAGTGTTTCCCCTAAGTTGTCTTCTAGTTGTTTTACAGTTTCAGGTTTTACATCTTGAGTTGATTTTTGTATATGGTTTTATTTTTCCACACAGATATCCAATTTTAAAGAGTGTTGTTTCCCTGATGCTTGTTCTTGGTGTCTTTGTCATAAATCAGTTGGCTGCAAATACGTGTATTTATTCCTGGGTTTTCTATTTTATTCCACTTGTCTATGTATCTATATTTACAACAGTACCCTGCTCTTTTGTTTACTATAGCCTTGTAATATATTCTGAAGTCAGGTAGTGCGATGCCTGCAAGTTTGTTCTTAATGTTCAGGATTGCTTTAGTTATTTGGGCTCTTTTCTTATTCTATTTGAATTTTAGATTTTTTAAAAAAATTCTCTGTAAAATAACATTGCTACTTCAATAAGGGTTGCATTGAATCTGTAGATTGCCTTAGTCAGTATAGTCATTTAAACAAACTGATTCTTCCTATATATGAGCACGGTATGTTTTTCTATTTGTTCATAACCTCTTTATTATCAGTGTTTTGTAGTTTTCCTTGAAGAGCTCTTTCATCTCTTTGGTTAAATTTATTTCTAGGTATTATTTTTAGGAGGTAGATATTGTAAATGAGATTATCTTCTTGATTTCATTGTCAGCTAGTTTATTAATGATGTATGGAAATGCTACCAGTTTTTGTACATTGATTTCAAATCCTGCAGTTTATTAAATTTATTTATCAAATCTAAAAGTTTTTTGGTGGAGCAATTGCGATTTTCTAAATGTAAGATTGTATCATCTGCAAAGAGAAATAGAAGCTATCATCTGCAAAGATGATATCATTTGCCTGATTGCTCTGGCTAGGACTTCCAGTACTCCATTAAATAGAAGTAGTGAAAGTGGGCATCTTTGTCTACTTCTAGTTCTTAGAGGAAAGGCTTACAGCCTTTCAGCATTCATTATGGTGTTAGCTGTGGGTTTGTCATCTATGGCTTTTATTATGTTCAGGTATGTTCTTTCAATGCCTAGTTTTTTCATTTTTATCATAAAGGGATGTTGAATTTTATCAACGGCATCTTTGCATCTATTGAGATGATTGTATAATTATTGCCTTTAATTCTGTTGATCTGATATATTTATTGATTTATGTATGTTGAATCATCCTTAACATCTTAAGGATAAATCCCACTTGATCATGTGGCATTGTCTTTTTTATATTCTATTGAATTTTGCTTGCTAATATTTTGTTAAGCATTTTAGCATCTATGTTCATCAGTAGTTTTCTGTGTAGTTTTATATATTTGTTACATATTTGTCTGGTTTTGGTATTGGTAATGCTGACCTCACGGAATAAGTTAAAAAGAATTTCCTCCTCTTCAATTTTGTAGAAATAATTTGAGAAGAAATGATGTTAGTTCTTTGAATACTGGGTAGAATCTAGCAGTAAAGTCATATGGTCCTACATTCTTTTTTGTTTTTTTTTTTAATAATTAAGTCTCAGTATTCAATGTTCATTAGTTTAGGTTTGCTATTTCTTTCTGATTCAATCTTAATAGTTTGAGTGTGTCCAGAAATTTCACTATATTCTCTAGATTTTCCAGTTTTTTAGTTTATAGTTGTTCACAATTGTCTTCAGTTATCTTTTGTATTTTTGTGGTATTATTTGCAATGTCTTATTTATTTATAATTTTGTTTATTTAGGTCTTTTATCTTTTTATCTTAGTCTAGCTAATGGTTTATCAATTTTGTTTATATTTTCAAGAAATCAACTTTTTACATGCTTTGTATTTTTTGTCTCTATATTATTTATTTCAGGTCTGATTTTTATCATTTATTTCTAATAATTTTGGGTTTAGCTTCTTGATCTTCTAGTTCTTTTAGGTTCACTGTTAGACTTTTAATTTGGAATCTTTCTACTTTTTTCATACAGGGGTTCATTATTCTGTACTTTTCTGTTAGCACTGCTTCTACTATATCCCATAGGTTTTGTTATTTTGTGTTTCAATTTCTTTTTTGGGGGGAGTATTTTTATTTTCTCTTTAATTTCTTCTTTGATCCAATGGTTATTCAGGTTTCCCAGGTTTGTATTTGTACAGTTTTCCAGGCTCCTCTTGTTATTGATTTCTGGTTTTATTCCTTTATGGTCTGATAAGATATTTGATATGATTTCAATTTTTAAAAAATTTGTTGAGACTAGTTATTTTTTGTCCTAACATACGATTTATTCTAGGGAATGTTCCATGTGCTGATGGGAAGAATTATACTGTGTAGCTATTGGGTGAAATGTCATCTTAATGTCTGTTAGGTCAATTTAGTGTAATATGCAGTTTAAATTCAATGTTTCTTTGTTAATTTTCCATCTAGATTATCTGTTTAATGCTGAGAGTGGGTACTGAAATTCCAACTATTTTGTATTAGAGTCTATCTCTCCCTTTAGATCTAATAGTATTTGACATGTATCTGAGTGCTCCAATATTGGGTACATATATGTTCAGAAGTAGTATAAACTGTTGCTGAAATGATTTGTTTATTATGATAACTTTGTCTCTTTTTACTATTTTTGATTTGAATTTTTTTTTTTCTGATCTACGTACAACTGCTCCTACTCACATTTCATTTCCGTTTTCATGGAATGTCTTTTTTCCTCCATTTACTTTCAGTCTATATGTATCTTTACAATTGAGATGAGTCTCATGTAGGTAGCATATAGTTGGGTTATTTTTAAAATTCATTCAGCCGGTCTGTATCTGAAGTGGAAAGTTTAATCTGTTTACATTTAAGGTCATTATTGTTATGTGATGGCATATTTCTGTCATTTCACTAACTTCTGATTGTTTTATATATATTTTATTCCTTTTTTCCTTATTATCTTTGTGGTTTGATAATTTTCTGTGGTGTTAACATTTAAGTGTTTTCTTTTCCTTATTTATGTGTTTGCTTTATCAGTGGTTTCATACTTTTGTGTGTTTTCATGAATTTGGATATCATTATCCCTTTGCTTGTAGCTGTAGTCAGACTCCTTTAAGCCTTTCATGTAGGTTCAATCTAGTGATGATAAAGTCCTTCAGCTGTTGCTTGTCTAGAAAAGTCTTTATTTTTGCTTTATTTATAATGGATAAGTTCGCTGGGCACATTATCTCTTGCAAGCTCTTTTTGTTTTGTTTTATCTCAACGCTTTGAATATATCATTCCATTCTCTTTTAGCCTGTAAGGTTTCTGCTGAGAAATCTGCTGTAGTCTGATGAGTGCACTATTATAAGTGACTAGACACTTTGATCTTGCTGTTTTTAGAATTCTCTGTCTTTGACTTTTGATAGTTTGACTATAAAATGCTATGGATAAAATTTTATTTGCATTGTATCTGCATTGTAGACACATAGATAAAGGAAAATAAGATTTCCTTTATCTTCCATGTCCCCAGAAACTATGCTTGGGTACTGGGGGAGGGAAGAACCAGAGATGGCAGCCCTGTCCTTAGGCTCCTCAGGGTTACCTGTAAGCTCTGGTTGTGGTAGGCAAGGGTGGATTGATCCCCACCCCTGCATGTTATAACATTTTATAGTTAACATTTACTACATAGATATTATCTCAAATCAGAGTAAATCTACAATGTTACTGACAACTAATATAAGGCTCTTAGAATGTTATATTAAAGCCCTTACATTTTCCATTTATCCATACTAAACATTATGTCAAAAGGGTTAACAGGGATAAAAACTGTAAAAGTAAATAGAGTTAGTATTAGCATGTTTTTATGGAAACTTAGTAATCAGGTTTACAAAGATAAACATACGTTCAATAGTTCAGTATATGTTGTTTTCATAATTCTTTTCATTATGATTAAAGTTTACCAATCTAAAATAAACTTAAAGCAGGGTTCTGATAGAGTATCCCTATGGCAGTTTTCATTATAAGTTTATATTTCATTATTTTCATTTGTATTTTTCACACTATTTAATGAGAGGCTTTACAAGCTGGAATAGCTTGTACTTTTGTAATATAATAAAATATAATTAATATATTTATTTATTTTATTACTATTGTAATATAATAAAAGCTTAGGTTACGCTCATTCTAAGTTCCTATGACAGACACACATTACTATTTGATGATGATGCATTTCATTTGTTGGTGATTGATTAACAAATGCACAGATTATATAATTTTAATTCTTCAGAGCAAAATCTCAATTACGTGTTAAAATAATACGAACTTTAATTTTAAAATATTAAAATAATATTATTATAACCTTCATCAAATGAAATAAAATTACATTCAAAATTTCAATTTAAAATAGATGATAAATTTTAGAAAACATTATTAAGATTTATTTAAACTTCTTGCATATCATTATACTCTCTCTTATACTATTGGAGAGTAGGCTCTAAACATTTATAACTTTAGCACAATGTTTTACTGTGGACATGTGAACTCTTAAGGAAAGTTTGTTTTTCTAATGATAAAGCTACAAATAATATAACTACCATTTTCTCTAAGAATAGTGCGATGGGTTTAAAAGAAAACATGTGATTTTCCAGAATATTTTTGTGTTTGTAATTTCAAGGGGATGACGGATATTATGTGCCAATTATAAACAGCTCTTCAGATCCAAATCAACTTCACAAAAATACGTCTTTTTTTTCCCAGACACATAACAATACGCTATTTAAAAGGATCAATTACATGCATATTTTAATTTAATTATTATAGTCTTATAAGAATTTCCCAGTATCTCTTTCAAATGATGTAAAAAACTTCCAGACACCAACTTCATTTGTAAGTCATAGGGGACTTCATATTTCTAATCTTCATATTGCTCATCAACTAGCATTTTTATGGTTCTGTTAATGTACCTCAGGCCTAAATATCCACTTAGGAAAACAAATATCTCCTATTTAACATCTGTGTCCCCAATTTTTCCAGGAATTCTTGAAGAGTATAGTATCTCTGTTACATTTGTTGCTGGATTGCCTTATCAAAATCAATATCAGTTAGTCTCTGAGATAATCATTATTATATCAGCACTGCATCTTTTAGAATAGATTTAAAGCCAGTGTTGATTTTTCTACATTTTAGTCATATTCTCTGCTTTGAACCTCTGATATTGTATATACAACCCATGTCAGACTTGTTTTAAAAAGCCACATTTTCTTACCTTAAAGTCGTTATTCTAACAAAATTCTCATTGTAAGAATATACTCTGACATTTTTCCACTAACAGAAACATTACCCATATTCAATATTTTCTCCATTAGAAACCTCATTCATATTGAATGTAATTTCCTCCATTAATCTTTTCCTTATGCTCATGTAAAATTATTCTGTTTTTGTTTTTAGTGCTTGTGTTATACTTTGCATGGCTAATAAGCATTTAACATATTTTTATGCTATTGTAACATACTATGCATGTCAGATTCTCTCACTTGACTATTAGCTTTTTGAGGCTATAAACCATTTTTATTGTAATTCACAGCAATATACACAGTGCTCTTTATATAGTTGGACATTATAAAAATAGTTGTTAAAATAACATATTTCCCAAATTACTAGTTAAGCTACTTCAAGAGAGGCACTGCATGTTATTCTTATTCAACAGAAAGTGAATAAATATTAAATAAATTTTTCCAGAAAATGTCAAGATATCGAGTCAAAATTTAGCAGTGAATGTTTCTGTAAACAAAAATTGAAAATTAAATTTTTTAACCAACAAAAATGTCTATAGAAACATGTAGAACAAAGAAAAGTACACTTTTCTAAAATGGCAGGCCAAGACAGAGAAAAGCTCTGAATCCTTGAAGAAAGACGGTCCTGAAAGTCTAATGTCAACAAAAGGCTTTAAGGTAGAAATGAGAGTTGAGATAATAGAAAGACTTTGGCATGATTCCCTGGATTACGTTCTTGTCATGTAAACGGAGACTGGCCTGAGAGGCACACACCAAATGTCCTTATAGACTACCCTTCTCCCGTCCGCTAGTTGAGCTAGTTTACACCTGCTGAGATGTCATTAAAAACAAGATGTAAACATCTACCATGAATCATAGCTAGTTGTGGTATCCCTAAAAAACTCAAAACTTCTAGTACACTGCATTTAACAGATGCCTAATAAGTATTTATTGGATAGTGAATATAAACAGTGGAAAGACCTAATAAGAAATATGAAAAATAATGCTATCATATCTATGACAAAAGATCTCTATTCAAGTTAGGGTGTGGGGAAACAATGATATTATTTCAAGACAGGAAAGATAAAAAATATTGATGAACAGTTTTAAATTAACATTTACATTAACAATAAAAAGACAGGGAGTAAATCAGTAAAATAAACATTTTTCATATCATTGAAAGAAGGATATTTTACCATTAGGTTGATTTGCTTTTTAAACTAGTAGATAACGCTAGTTTCTTTATTTTTGACATACCAAGTTATTGACGAATGACAATTTTCACCCTCCTTTTTCTATTCAAAGCAAAAAGATTCATTTATAATTTATACAGTTATGTTCATGTGAATGTGAGATAGAGATATAGCTGCTTTCATTAAATAATAATGCTTCAAATTGCTTCATATTTTTCTTCCAAAAAATTCAAACTGTTTGACAATTGCTATATCATTATCCTTTTCCAGATGACTCTTTCTTTTTTTCTTTAACATTACTTTACCGTGGAAATATGCTAAGGCACAAAAATGCTTCATAGAGTATAAATTAATAGAGACAAAAGAAGAGAGAGGTTAAATTATTTGTTCTAAATCACATATATAATTAGAAATAAAGCTTGATACATGCTGTATTTTTTGCTTGTGTTTAGGAATGTTATTCTTAATGCATACAGTTAATGCTGAAGTTATACTCTGTCAATTGTTACTGTGCTGCAGATCTTTTGTCTCTCTTTTGAACTCTGATCAATGGAATTAAAAGATTTCATGACAACTTGTCCCACTGAAAGCAAAAGTTTTTATAGTGGTAAGATAAGAAAATGGCATAAGTTCTATCAGCACCTCTAAACCTTAGCTTGCAATGGTGTAAATTACGACCCAGATATAAATACTGAGAAATTAAAGATGATACAAGAAGAAATATGCTATTCAAGTACTCTATTGATCACCTAATTATATTTTTAAAGCTATTACCTTTATTCTTGTTGCAAGGTCAACATGGAGACACCTCTTAGACCTAGATATTTTTTATTTCTCAAAGAAAAAACGAAGATAATTTAAAATATGGGGCCTGGAATCTTTGGAATTACTTCAAATTGTTGTAAAAACCAAAATTTTCAAGTAACTATTGAATTTTCATGAATATCTAATTAAACTAATTATTAAAATTCACCTTGAGTCATTTTGACTAGTACATTTATTACTCTTAGAACCACTCAAATGGGAAGGACAGTGTACAATATTGTGTTACTCAGGTCTGACCACAATTTTTTATTTGTATAAATTTATGGGATACAAGTACAATTTTGTTACATGTATATATTACATAGAGGTGAAGTCAGGGCTTTTAAGGTTTCCATTACCTCAATAATATACACTGTACCCATTAAGTAATTTCTCATCATCTACTCCCCTTCTAGGCCCTCACCCTTCCAAGTCTCCACTGTCTATCACTTCACACTCTACATCTATGCATACACACAATTTAGCTCCCACTTATGAGTGAGAGCATGTCTTTCTGTGTCTGACTGGTTTCATTTAAGATAATGGCACCAGTTTCACCCATGTTGCTGCAAAAATATGATTTCATTCTTTTTCATGGCTGAATAGTATTCCATTGCATATATATGCAATATATAAATATATATGCAATGGAATATTATATATATTTCATATATATGCAATGGAATACTATTCAGCTGTGAAAAAGAATAAAATTATATATGTGAATATAAATATATATATAAAACGTTTAATATTACATTTTAAAATCCAGTCATCTGTTGACAGACACTTAGATTGAGTCCATATCTTTGCCATTGTGATTAGTGCTGCAATAAGCATACAAGTGTAGGTATCTTTTTGATATAATGATTTCGTTTCCTTTGAGTGGATACACAGTATTGACAGACAGAAATGCCTAGATTGAACGTTAATTCTACAGTTAGCTCTCTGAGAAATTTCCATACTGTTTCCCATAGAGGTTGTACTAATTTGCATTCACATCCACAAGAGCAGAAGTGTTCTATTTTCTTTTGTTGTTGTTGTTGCTAAGACAGAGCCTCACTCTGTGGCCCAGATGCAATCTTGGCTCACTGCAACTTCTGCCTCCCGGGTTCAAGCAATTCTCCTGCCTCAGCCTCCTGAGTACCTGGGATTACAGGTGCACGCCACCACACCCAGCTACTTTTTGTATTTTTAATAGGGACAGGGTTTCACCATGTTCGTCAGACTGGTCTTGAACTCCTGACCTTGTGATCTGCCTGCCTCAGCCTCCCAAAGTGTTGGGATTACAAGCATGAGCCACTGCTCCCGGCCAAGTGTTCTATTTTCTTTGCATCCTTGCCAACAACTTTTTTTTTTTTTGTCTTTTAACATTGGCCTTTCTGACAGGTGTCAGAAGGTATTTCATAGTGGTTTTAATTTGCATTTCTCTGATGATTAGTAATGTTGAGAATTTATTCATATGCCTTTTGGCCATTTCTTATGTTTTATTTTGAAAAATGTCTGTCTCAAGTACTCACGAGGCTGAGGCAAGAGGATCACTTGAGCCCAGGAGTTCTTGGCTATTTTGTGCTAAGCCTGTAGGTGTTTGCACTAAGTTCAGAATCAATATGGTGACTTCCTGGGAGTGAACACCACCAGCTTGCCTAAGGAGGGCTGAACCAGTCCATGTTGGAAACAATTTTTTTGTGTGTTATCCCTGTCTTATTTTCTCTAAATGTTTAAAAGTATAGAAGTTTTAGTGTACGTTATAGTGAAAATAACACGAAAATGGTAGCATGATGTGCTGGAAAAGCAAACACGGAAGTCTAAAGTTAAGTCATGTTGCTAAGACTCATTAACTGTATGCTTCTTTGCAAGTTACTTAACTTCCCTGAATCACCCTTATTCCATTGATAATGTGGGAATAACAATTACTGCCTTATTTATCACATTGTGTATGTGAAAATTAAATAATATATCAGATACGAAAACATTTTAAAATTATAAATTCACATTAGAATGTTACCTATTATAAAAATAGTTCACTCAGGCTTATCTGGTTTACGGATCAAAATAGAAAAAAAAAAGACTGGCCTTTATTATAAATTTACCAATGAAGCTAATGCAGATATTAGTTCTTAGTCACAGAGAATTAATATCTGAATTTTCAACCTTTGTTGTTGTTAAGTGTGAAGAATCCCACAATAATTTTGAGATTTTTCACAAGGTCACAGAGAAAATTATTTGGGGAATTATCTTTAGATTCTGGGTGTTGTGATTTGCAATTTCTCTATTTTTCAACTACATGTTTGTCACTACTTATGTCATATTTTCTTTTTTATCATTGTTATATTTTTATTTTTCAATTAATAATAACTTTAAAATGAAAGATTTCATAAGGCATTCCTCACCAGTCAGATAACTAATAATGTTCAACATAAATTGTAAATCAATTTGATTGTCCTGTAAATCTTATTTTCATGCCCCTTTTTCCATTGATGGGGCCAGATAATTTTTTTAATAAATTAGTATATATAAAATTATTTTAAGCAACCATAGTCTACTAAAGGTAATCATTCATCATTATAATTTTCTTGTCACTAATAAAAATCAAATAAATATCATGAGTATGTAAATAAAATATTACTTCAAAATATTGCACAGACCTATTATTAGGTGTTGTATTCATGCATGAGAAATGTATTCTTTTAAGTCATTGCTGTTTTGTTGGTGTTTAAATGCCACCTCCCACCCTAGTACAATGTAAGTCTTGATGTAAATTGAGAAACAGTTACTTAACTAGCACACATTAGAAAATATTAATTGGCAATTAGGTAAGGGAGTCAAAACACTGGAGAAGAAATGGATAAATAGGGACTTATGGAAGAGCTCTGGGACCAAGAGCAGGGCAGGAAAACTTAATAAAATGATAGACTTGATTAAGAAAATGTGGCACATATACACCATGGAATACTATGCATCCATAAAAAATGATGAGTTCATGTCCTTTGTAGGGACATGGATGAAGCTGGAAACCATCATTCTCAGCAAACTATCGCTTAAGGACAAAAAACCAAACACCGCATGTTCTCACTCACAGGTGGGAATTGAACAATGAGAACACATCGACACAGGAAGGGGAACATCACACACTGGGGCCTGTTGTGGGGTGTGGGGAGTGGGGAGGGATAGCATTAGGAGATACCTAATGTTAAATGAAGAGTTAATGGGTGCAGCACACCAACATGGCACATGCATACATATGTAACAAACCTGCACGTTGTGCACATATACCCTAAAACTTAAAGTATAATAATAAAAGAAATTTTATCACTTGCTTCAGCATATTTCTATTCTGGCTAATAATAAAATAGCCAAAATATATATAGTGCTATGTGCTACATATTGCGCTAAGCTCTCTCCTCTCTCTCTGTCTCTCTCTCTCTATATATATACATATATGGAAGGTGTATATACATATACACCTTCCATATTGCTGTAGGTGTTTATATGTATAATATATTAATTGTATAATACTATTATAATGTGTACTATTATACCATTATAATGTGTACTACTATAATGTATATGTTACTGTTGAGGAAACAGAAGTCATTAAATTTAAGTAGGTTGCTCAAGATTGCATGATTATTATATAGCACAATTGGATTTTGAACTCAGGAAGTATAGCTCTAAAATTTGTTCTATCAACAAATAGAATACAGTTTCTCCACATTATATTTAATATGTGGAAGGCAGAATTAGACAGAATTCTAAGATGGCCCTAGATATTCCTGCCCTTTCTTATACATGCCTTGGAAAATTCTGTTTCCTGGTGAATGTGGTGGAATATCACTCCCATAATTAGACTATTAATAAGTTGACTTTGAGTCAATCAAAAGAGAAATTATATGGGTGTCACTAACCTAATCAGGTGAGCCCTTAAATGGGACTGAGCCCTTACTGAAACCAGGCAGATTCCACAGTAGGAACATTCTCCATTGCTGGGTTTGAAGATGAGGAGTCCATGTGTTAAAGAATAAAAGGCAGTCTCTAGGGTCTGAGAGCAAACTTTTGTCATCAGCCAGTAGAAAAAACAAAAACAAACAAACAAAAAACAAGAACTCTACCTACAACTTCAAAGAACTGAATTCTGTCAATAATCAGTGCTTTTGGAAGAAGATCTCAAGCTCCACATGAAAATGCAGCCCAGAAAGCATCCCTTTTTCAAAACCGGTAGCCACTTAGCTGAAGACGCTGTTAACCAGAGCCAGGGTTTCTTTTTTCTTTTTTTTTTTTTTTGAGATGGACTCTCACTCTGTCACTCAGCCTGGAGTGCAGTGGCGCAATCTCGGCTCACTGCCACCTCTGCCTCTCGGATTCAAGCGATTCACCTGCCTCAGCCTCCTGAGTAGCTGGGTTTACAGGCATGCACCACCATGCCAAGCTAATTTTTGTATTTTTAGTAGAGACGGGGTTTCACCATGTTGGTCAGGCTGGTCTCGAACTCCTGACCTCATGAGCCACCCTCCTTAGCCTCCCAAAGTGCTGGGATTACAGGCGTGAGCCACCGCGCCCAGCCCAGTGCCAGGGTTTCTGACCTACAGAAACTTTGATATCATAAATAAATATTATCTTAGTCCATGAAGTTTTAACTAATTGGTGAGCAATAGAAACCAACACAATATGTGTGATGTGTGGAACAGATAGGAGTAGCCTTATTTCAATATTCTCTTCATTGAGGTTTGCTGCCCATATATTCAGTCTTTTGGGGGAATACAGTCTCAAGAATGAATGTCTGCTGGGTCTACTTATTCATGTAGCTCGCTAACAATGCCTGAAAAACTAATTATATGATTGAAAGAGAAGAAGGGCCCTACTATGGCCTGGGAAAGTCACTTACTACTCACTCCACGTTCTTTCAAGTCGTTTGTGTGCTACCCAGGTCTGGCTCCTTTGTTTATTCCTATGGTTATGAACACCTATATTAGTTTACTAGGGCTGCCATAACATAATACCAGACACTAGCCTACTTAAATAACAGATATTTATTTCTTCACAATTCTGGAGGCAAAAAGTCAAAATCAAGAGTTTGGAAGATTTGTTGTTTTTCTGAGGTCTTTTTGGCTTGCAGAAAGCTACTTCCTTTGTCCTCAAAGAGGTGTCAGTAATAGTTAGGATTCTACAGAAAAAGATAACCAACAAGAAGGAACATATTAAATATATTAATTAATATTAATATAATTAATATTATATCGTTATAATTTTAATACGGTTAATCATTAATAAATATATCATATGTAATATATTAATATATATTAATTGGCTTATATATATCAATTGGCATAAATATGGAGGCTAATATATATTTCATATAATTAATATATAATATACTACTATATTAATATATAATATATTAATTGGCTAATATATATATCAATTGGCTCACATAAAGGTGGAGGCTAAGGAGATTTATAATCTGCCATCTGCAACCTGGAGACTAAGGAGAGCCAGTGGAATTGTGCCAGTTGAAGTTCAAAAGCATGAGAACCAGAAGAACTGATGATGTGAACAGATGGTGTAAGTTTCAACTTCGGTGCGGGATAAGGCCAATGACCCAGCCTAAAAAAAACAGGAAGAGAATCTGAGTTTTCCCTTATCCCACCTTTTGTTCTATTTAGGCCTCCAGTGGATTGCATGATACCCACTTACATCCGGGAGGACAATATGTTTTAGTCAGTCCCCTGATAGAAGTGCTAGTATCATCCAGAAATACTATCACAGACAAATGGAGAAATAATGTGTAACCAAATATGTGGGAACTCAGTATCCAAGTAAAGTTGACACATAAAATTAAGCATCACAAGTTCAGACTTTGTCACCTTGGCACTCATGCATACTCCTTAAGCCTTACTTAATCTACAAATAAAGACAATAGCAAGGTCATAATTCTGCCTAACATGATAAAACTATCCTGTGTACAACTTAAAATGTACTAACTCCTTTCCCAGAAGAGAAGATACAGCCTTTGAGTAATGTTTACTGTTCTTCTTCTCCTTTACATTCCTTAGGTACTATGATGTAAAATAGCATCATTTAAATGTTATGATAATAAGCTAATACATTTTATGTTACATGATAAGGGAATAAGGGAGGAAGGAAATCAAAGATATTTCTATGTATGTATGTGTGTGTGTGTGTGTGTGTGTGTGTATGCAAAAGAAAAAGGAATACACGTAACTACTACAATCCTTTATTCTATAAGTGGTCACATTGTTATAGCTGGTATTTACAACTACCTTCTTCCAGTACACATTCTACATTCCCTTTCCTGTATCAAGTACCTCAACTGATTGTGGTTTTTTACCTGGTGAGAAGACCCAAATTTTTATTTCTAAAAGGTCTCAGCCATTAGTAGACCTACCTGAATTTAGTTGCTGAAATTTGCCATTGACCTTAGTCAGTGAGAATGGTAATACTAAGATAAGCCCTAAAAAATCCCCTATATCCAAGACCTGCTCTTCTTTACCTACACTATGGAATAGCAGAGTTCTCCACAAGAACCATGAAATCAAGATCAGGCATCTTAGACAGCACCATAACTCCCTTCTTTTTCTGTTGATTCAGAAGCATGAAGAGTAGAAAATGGCCAGGCAAGAGTCTGAATTTCCAGTTCAATGGAATGCTTCCCAGTGGAAGCATACATGCAGACTGGCCGAAAGAAGGCAGTGTAGCCGAAGTGGGGATCACAATCATTTGGGCCATTTTTTAATGTAACTTACTTATGCCTTCAGGAATTACATATATACTGCTTCCATTTAATGATGGAGTGTTGCTATACACACCTAAATTTATGGCTTGATGGGTCAAAGAGCATCCACTTCATGATGGGCATCTCAGGTTGCATGGTGACTTAGTAACAAGAAAATTTGGAGAAGATATAAATGAATAGGCCTCTCTGAACATGACTCCTCTAAAAACTGGGAGGCAATATGAAGGATGGAATGTAAGATCAGTATTCAGATAGAGAGTATTTAATTCATTGAAATGTATGTGAAAGATATTACTATGACTTATCTACATGTCTGTGATATTTGACATTGCCTAATTAACATGGAAATGTTAAGCACAAAGTTAAGCTTCTGTTGGCTATGTCACGGCTTGGCAACTAACAGTTCTATGAGTTGTGTCTCATTTTATTGTGAATGGGCAATTGAAAGCTGTGCAAGACAACAGGAAAAGGTCTTGATCTTTTAGGATTCAAGTCTTACATTCTACAAAAATCTAACTATACATGCCTTTCAGCAAAACTCATGCTTTAGATATTGTATAGAGCACATGAATTATATTTTTTTAAAAAAATTCTTGTTTTAAAATTCTGATCTGCTACTAATCAGCTAAATGATTTTAGGCAAGTGACTTTTCTGAGTTTCAATTTCATTACATATAAAATAGGATTTAAAGGTACTTATTTCTAACAGATATTATGAAAATGAGATAATGGAAAGATACATAATATGATGGCCATACATTATATGTGCTCAAATTATTTCATCCCTATATAATACTAAATATTTTTGTGGTTTTGCATATTTTCACATAATTATTGATAATTTTGCTTTTAGCTTTTAATGGTTGGCATAATAATGAAAACATTGTCACAATAGATAAGCAATGGCATTGGCATCCGTCTTTTTGCCTCATAAAATAAATGAAATGCCTATTAAAAGAAAAACAGGAGAATAAAAGACTAGGAACGACTGTAAAACTCTCAGATTAGAGGGGCCTATGGAGAAAAAACTAAAATAATACAATATGGAATTCTACATTGAATTCTTGAACAGAAATGAAATACAATGTGGGATCATTTTTTCCTTAAAAGAATGCTGAGAAAATGAGTGAAATTCAGATAATCTCTGCAGCTTAGTTAGTAGTTTTGACTCACATTAATTTCCTGGTTTTGATAAATTTACTATGATTATATAAGGTGTTAAGATAAATGGAAGAGGGGTGAACGTATATGAGAATATTCTATACTTTCAAAAACTTTTATCTGAGCCTAAAACTAGTTTAAAATATAGTATTTTAAAATGTATTAGCAAAAAAACCCCAAAAAATCCATAGCTTTAAAGGAAAGTTATTTTAGAATTTAAACTGTTTGTTAAAAGAACATGGCTCAGGATATTTCCTTGACCTCACTCTAAGATCGGTTTACTGTATCAATATTGTGCAGACATTCTATAATACATTTCTAAAATGTGTTGAAAAAGTAACTGGTGTGCTCCTTCTAATACATAACTACTTTGAATTACACAGTATATACACAGGTACACATGCATTTTATGGGCAGTTCCATGGCTACTATGAATCATTATGGTTATAATTTGAGCCAAAGTCTAAAATAAATAATCTGGAGTCTTATAAGATCTGTGAACTCTGGGAATTATTTCACCCTACAAAATGCTTTGTAGGGTGACAAGCCAGGCCTTTTTTTTTTTTTTTTTAAATGAAAACCATGTAATTTCTGTGTAACTAAATATAATTTTAAGCTTTACTAATTGCATAGACATCTAAGTAAGTGAGATATTTTAGATTTCTTTCTAAGTAGAAATATTGAGCAATTTTAAGATCTTAGTATCTGTTTTTACTTCACCTTTACGTTTGCATTTGTGTTTACTTTTTTGTGCGCGTGTGTCTTTGTGTAGTTATGCTATAAATCAGCATGAGAAAATGCTGCAACCACTTTTTGGGCTGTGTCTCCCCCCAGAGGCCCACAGAGAGGAATCTGTCTGAACATTGTTTCTGGTAATTTTTGGTTAGAGTGATGAGCACAGATAGACACAGTGTTTATAGGTTTTTATAGATTAATAATATCATTAGTCTGGTGACAGAGATGCATCCAAATTTCTTGGATTTTCTTGAAGAAAAATGATGAAATAAATGAATAAAAATTACTAGGGCTTTGTATATAACCTGTGATTTTGAGGATGATTGAAGTTTAATCTTAATTAATTTCAGAGTATATTCTTCCATGATTCCTGATTTTGCACTTTCGACAGCTTTTCTATTAACCTTAAGGTAAAGCTATCCTAAAATCTAAGACAAAACATATGGAACTTGCTCACTTAACAGTTTTTGGGGTAAAATGTTTTCGAAATAAACATTTCTAGAGTCACAGTATGCTAATATTAAATGTTGTTTTAAGTTGATTACTTTTCATACAATTTCAATTTCCTAGTGATATAGCCAGAAAAGTAAATATTTTCAACAAATCCATCTCTCTAATCACTATTATCATTTAATGGTTACTTTGTGAATGAAAATCTTTCCTTAAAAACACTTTGATGTATGAAGTGTGGGTTATAACATATCCTGCATTTAGCAACAATTGTATGAGTGTTTTAGTCCAAGAGTCTCTGTCACGTATTGAATCTTGATTCACTTCATGGCATAACATAACTTGACTTTACTTTTTATTAGTTCTCATCACTGCTCCCTCAAACCTCCTGAATACTGAGCAAAGAGGCCAGCCCATCAGATCTGCCACTTTAGAAACTTAGGCATTTCAAAAGCAGCACTGAAAAAATAGCAAATCAGGTAGTACTTTCAATTTTGCACTGAGCAATTTACTTTTTAGAGGGGACCAGATAGCTCCTACGATAGGTAATTGGATGCAGAACCTCTAACCTCCAGGTCGGCCTTTGCACCTAGCCTGGGTTAGTGGTGACAGAAAGCCATTAGCCTCTGATTGCTGTTTGCTGACCTGTGTGAAATGAGTTGATGGCTCCCATTCAGTTTCTAGTGGACAAGTGCGTGGATCACATTTGGCATCCTTGTTGGTAGGTTCCAGAAAAATAGAGATGGATTGAGTAGGCTTTCAGGTTAAACTACTGACCCACCAGATTAGGACTGACTTTCTTTGGAGGGGAATTTTGCTCTTTCCTGGCTCACACTTCATGCTTACTTGTTACTAATGAAGCACTTAATGTGCTAAGGAGTATAATCCACTCCTTTTTAAATATGCTCAAATTTTCCATAAGACTGTGAATTGAACACTTGATATTATTTTCAAGAGTTGTTTTCTTATTGCTGGATGAATGCTTTGGAATCAACATAAAATTTTATAACTATTAGTAAAATAATTTAATAATCAACAAATTTATAATAACTAATAAAATGAGAAAAATTATGTTTTATTTTTAAAATTACTATTAAGTATACAATTATTTATTTTCACCAGCCACTATAATTTGAACAGTATCTTTCCCTCAGAGAGCGGATTTACAACTCCAGTTTATTACCTTGGTTCATGTTTTGGCCTCAGCTGGAATAATTTCTCCTTTCTATGGCTTCAGCCTCCATACTCTCACGCCGGTCCCTAATTAAAGTTCAATTTTCATAATAAACTCATCCAAGAATACTCCAATCATTCAAATTTAATTCCCTGTTTGCTGTCTAAATCACACAATTGAGCAATTCATCATAGTTTCTCTAATCTTCTTTTCTTATACACCATACTCCATATTATTTCTATCTTCCCTAACAGGCTATAAGCATGTTGAAAGCAGGAATACTTTGCTTTATTTATTTGGTGTTTCCTAGATTATCTAGCTGAGTAGAAATCCCACAATGTAGCCATTGGCCTTGGAGGATAAAATGTTATGCCATTTTTCTAGAGCATTTATTTCTCACATAATCATAGAAGCCTATAAGCATTGTGACTTTTATTGATGTCACCTTTCCTTTAAATAGATACAAGCATTACCCTAAGGGATGTAAAAAGCCACAGAGAGAACATACACCAGAAGATAATACTTCTATGTTTTTGTTCACAGTAACTTAATAAACTGAGGCATTTGATAAACTGATAATCTCCCTGGATGCCGCTTGCTTCATTTATAAAATAGATATAAAGCGGCTGGGCGCAGTGGCTCACGCTTGTAATCCCAGCACTTTGGAAGGCTGAGGCAGCCGAATCACCTGAGGTCAGGAGTTCGAGACGAGCCTGGTCAACATGGTGAAACCCCGTCTCTACTAAAAGTACAAAAATTATCTGGTCCTGGTGGCGGGGCCTGTAATCCCAGCTACTCAGGAGGCTGAAACAGGAGAATCACTTGAGCTTGGGAGGCAGAGGTTGCAGTGAGCCAAGATCATGCCATTGCACTCCAGCCTGGGCAACAAGAGTGAAACTCCATCTCAAAAAACAAACAAACCGATAAAGCATAAGTATTTCTTGTTGAACTAGATGGTTATGAGAAAAAATACAAGTGAGAACAAGTTGGGGGGAACAAAACTTTGCAAATAGTCAAGAGTCATATATATTTCAAAATTTTATTATTGTCTAAGAAATAAATATTCATTTATTTGATAATGCATCTGTTACGAGTTGAATTGTGTTCCCTCAAAAATTCATATGTTGAAGTCCTAACCCCAAGTACCTCAGAATGTGTCCTTACTTGGAATCAAGTTGTTGAAGGTTTAATTAGTTAAGTTTAGATGAGGTCATACTGGAAGAGGGTGGGCCCTTAATTCAATATGACTGATGTTCTCATAAAAAGATGAAACTTGGACACAGACACAGACACAGGGAGAATGTAAAGATGAAGTCAAAGATTAGGGTAATGCTTCTACAAGACAAGGAATGCCAAATATTGCCAGAAAACCATCAAAAACTAGGCGAGAGGCATGGAACAGATTCTTCCTCACAGCCCGTAAAATAAATCAGTGCTACCAACACCTTGATTTTTGACTTCTGGCCTCTAGAACTGTGAAATAATAAATAGCTGTTGTTTAAACCTCCTAATTAGTAACACGTTGTTATGGCAGCCCTACAATCTATTCAGCATTTTACATGAAATGAGTTATTTGTAAATAAATAGAATAATCACCAAGGAAAAAGATTGCTGCTTTTGTAAAACTTTGTTTCAAAGGACACTATGAAGAAAATGAAAAGACAAACTACCAAATGAAAGAACATATTTTCAAATCGTATATATGATAAAAGATTTGTATCCAGAAACTCAACAAATAAAAGACAAATAACCCAATTAAAAAATGGCAATGGATCTAAATACGCGTTTCTTCCAGGGAGATATACAAAGAGCCAATAAGTATGGGAAAAAATATTCAGTATCATTAACCCACAGGAAAATGTGACTATAACCATAGTGAGATACTGCCTCACACCCGCTAAGATGACTGGAATTAAAAATGACAACTGTAACAAGGAGAGTATATGAAGAAATCAGAACACATGTACACCGTTGGTGGAAATGAAAAACAGTGTAGCCAGTGTGGCAGTTCCTCAAATGATTAAACATAGAGTTACTATATGTTTTTGAGGATGCACCAAATACAAATGAAAAACATATGTCCAAACAAAAATGTGTGTTCATGGATGTTTCTAGCAGTATTATTTATAATAACCAAAATGTAAAAACAACCCCAAAACTCATCAATTGATAAATGAAGAAATGTAATGGGATATATCCATAAAATGGAAACTTATCCAACCATAAAAAAGAATTTAAGTACTGATATACTCTATAACATGGATGGAACTTGAAAACATTATGCCAATCAAAATAAGTCAATTACAAAGAAACACGTATTAGCTTACTTATAAGCAATGTCCAGAATAGACAAATATATAGGGGGAGAAAGCAGAGTGGAGGTTGCTTAGGCTTTGGGGAGTGGAGTATATGGGGGTGATAGCCAAAGGGTACATACAATGTTTCTATTGTGATAATACAAAATAGACTGTAATGACCGTTGCACTTACTTTAAATATCTGACAAAGGGCTAATATCCAGAATCTATAACGAACTCAAACAAATTTACAAGAAAAAAACAAACAGCCCCATCAAAAAGTGGGCAAAGGATATGAACAGACACTTCTCAAAAGAAGACATTTATGCAGCCAAAAAACACATGAAAAAATGCTCATCATCACTGGCCATCAGAGAAATGCAAATCAAAATCACAATGAGATACCATCTCACACCAGTTAGAATGGCGATCTTTAAAAAGTCAGGAAACAACAGGTGCTGGAGAGGATGTGGAAAAATAGGAACACTTTTACACTGTTGGTGGGACTATAAACTAGTTCAACCATTGTGGAAGGCAGTGTGGCAATTCTTCAGGGATCTAGAACTAGAAATACCATTTGACCCAGCCATCCCATTATTGGGTATATACCCAAAGGATTATAAATCATGCTGCTATAAAGACACATGCACACGTATGTTTATTGTGGCACTATTCACAATAGCAAAGACTTGGACCCAACCCAAATGTCCATCAATGATAGACTGGATTAAGAAAATGTGGCACACATACACCATTGAATACTATGCAGCCATAAAAAATGATGAGTTCATGTCCTTTGTAGGGACATGGATGAAGCTGGAAACTATCATTCTCAGCAAACTATCGCAAGGACAAAAAACCAAACACGACATGTTCTCACTCATAGGTGGGAATTGAACAATGAGAACACATGGACACAGGAAGGGGAACATCACACATGGGGGCCTGTTGTGGGGTGGGGCGAGGGGGGAGGGATAGCATTAGGAGATATAGCTAATGTTAAATGACGAGTTAATGGGTGCAGCACACCAACATGGCACATGTATACATATGTTACAAACCTTCACATTGTGCACATGTACCCTAAAACTTAAAGTACAATAATAATAAAATTAAAATAAATAAAAACAAAAATTAAACCACATAGTTATAATAACAAAAATTATTTTAAAAGGAAATACTCAAATACATTAGTTTTCCCATTTACCTGATTAATGGTGTCAGTTAAACCTCACCTATTTATCTGGCTTTTTTTCTCTGAATTTCTCCCATTTTGCTCAGTTTATATTGCCAATTCAATTTAGGGTTTCAATTAGGGTTAATATAAAACTTTTGTGTAATAGACAAACGCAAGGTTGTAGTGAGCATTTATGAAGTACATGATTCCTAAATGCTATACATGTACATGTAATTTTTTTTACTTTTAAATTTCATTTTAGGTTTAGGGGTACATGTGCAGGATTGTTATATAAGTAAACTGTGTACTGTGGGGATGGTGTACACATTATTTATTCAATCAGGTAATAAGCATAGTACCTGATAGGTATATATATTTTTTGATCTTCTCCCTCCTCCCACCATTCACCTTCAAGTAGCTCCTGGTGTCTGTTGTTCTGCTGTTTGTGTCCATGTGTCCTCGTTGTTCAGCTGCCATTTATAAGTGAGAATATATGGTATTTGCTTTGCTGTTCCTGTGTTAGTTTGCTTCAAATAATGGGCTCCATCTCCATCCATGATGCTGCAAAGAACACAATCTTTTTCTTTTTATGGCTGTGTAGTATTCCATGCTATGTAGGTACCACATTTTCTTTATCCACTCTACCATTAATACACACTTAGGTTGGTCCCATGTCCTTCCTATTGTGCATAGTGCTGCAATATACACGTGCATGTCTTTATCATAGAATGAATTATATTCCTTTGGGTATATACCCAATAATGAGATTGCTGAGTCAAATGTTAATTCTCTTTTAACTTATCTGAGAAACTGCCATATTGCTTTTTATAATGGCTGAAGTAATTTACACTTCCACCAGCAGTGTAAAAGTGTTCTCTTTTCACCACAACCTCGCCAGCGTCTGTTATTTTTTGACTTTTTAATAATGGCCATTCTAACTGGTGTGAGCCAGTGAACTTGTACTAATATACTAAATCTTCACAACCATGCTTCATGGCATAAGGTGTTATAGTCAATTTTTTTGTTGGTTTTTTGTAGAGAGGGAAACTGAAGCCAAGGGCACTAACTTCTTGTTTAATGTCATTCACCAAATAAGTGGTGAAATTGGGATATGAACCAAAGTATTCTGGTTTCAGAACACTTGAGATTAATCACTATGCATAACTTCCTTTCAACTTGAACTCACAGAATCCAACAGCTTTGCTATAAACATGAGCAATGAATAACTTTCCATTTCAGAACATAAAAAGAAAAGCAATTCTCATTCATTAACAAATTAAACTTCCAAGACTTAATTAATATTAACAGATATACTCATATATATAGAATATATACGAATATATATTCAACTCTAATTAAATATATATGAATACATACTTATATACATTCATATATATTCAGATTGCATAAAATAATCTAAGAAAAGATAGTGAAAGGCCTAGATGGAAACTAAACCAACTAAACAAAAATATAGGATTCAAGATATTCATAATCTTGGATGAAAGAGTTAATACTAAATAGTGTAATTTCCTCTAAGTGAATTTTATATATTATGTTGAACTAATAAATTGCTATTTTGATATGTCTTATAAAAGGAGAAATATTAGCAATTTCAGATGGTTTTATATAGACATATAGAATATATATAGACATAGAATATATATAGCGACATATAGAATATACATGAATATATATTTATTTAATTCTGATTAAATATATATTCATATATATTCTATATATATTCAGATTGAATAAATATATATTGAACATATATACATATATATATATATGGAAAGAGAGGGAGAACCATCTGAAATTTAAAAATACTTTTAGGATTTTTAAATTGATTAAGGAAAGCATATTTTCCAGATGACCCACAAGAGAAAATATACAGAAAAAGAAACAAGAAAAATTGGTGAAAAAATTTTAAAAATTATGAAATAGGACTTAACTATATAGCAAACATTTTATAAAGCTTTAACTATGAGAACCAAGTGGTTTTGGTAGAAGAATACAGCAGTTGATAAACAGAAAAAAAAAGAAAGAATCAAAAAAGAAACTAATTTTTATATAGTAATTTAGAATATGAAGATGGCATTTCAAACTTGCGTAGAAATGAGTTAAGAGAAATTATGTTGTGAAAATTGGAAAAATAAGTTAGAATTCACAAAAATGTTTTTGTTTAAAAAGTATATATGAATTGAAAATTTGATTAAAGGGTCTGAATGTAAAAGTCAATGCTGTAAAAGAACTAAAAGACAATATTGGATAATATTATTATTAACATAGTGACTTAAGTAAGACACAAAACTGAGAGTTGCTAAAGAAACATTATTAGAACTCTTAGTTTTCAAACTGGCACAAAAATAAAACCATAAGCAGTTGATTGAGAGAAAATACATTATAGTGGTGAATAGGCTGACTTATTCACAAATACTCATTTTCCCATTTTTATGACTCTTGTCATGACTTGGGGCATGGCCAGGCGACCTGCTTTGATAAGTAGTGTTTGAAAAGATTTAATGCATATGCTTTTCAAGTAGGGGTTTTAAATGCACTTATGTGATCACACTTCTCTTGCACTTTTGTCACTAGCAGGAGAAAACTTTCCCAGGTAGCTAATGGTTTCTAGACTGAGGCATGAGGATGATTCCTAAATCCGATCTCCAGACTAGAGTCCAGCTCATTTACGACCAAGAAAAATTTATCAAACCCAGGCAACTTGCAGACCTATAATCAAGAAAAGGTAATGGCTGTTTTTGTAAGCCACAGAAATTCAGGGCTTGTTTACTTTTTTTTTTATTACAATAGAAACCTGTTACAATACATATGTACAAAATATTTAAAATAATATACACAACACATATGTACAAAGTATTTAAAATAATATATACAACAAAGCTCCTACAAACCAACAGAAAAAACTAACTGTACAAAAAACCTGGCTAAATATAAAGAAAATATTACATTTTTCTGTAATATTTGAATATGTTAATGTTACCCCATTTGTTTAATGCTTTGGCAAATTTTATAAAAATAAATGTGCAAATTGGGCAGAAATGGGTATTCTAAAACAGTGTTGTGAAATGTTAAATTACATGAACTTTTGAGAATGTAAATTAGCATATGCTATCAAAGTATCAAATATGCATATTATTTGACCCAGCAATTTACTCCCAGGAATTAAGAGCTCAGGAATATATGCATTTATATCCAAATATATACTTAAAAATATCCTTTGCAATGCTGTTTTTACTAAGGCAAAAAGAGGAAGGGAAAGGTTTATACATAGAATGAGATATGAGGTAGACCTTTGAGGAATTGCGTGGAATTATTCTGTCGTTTCCAGGTGTGGTGGCTCACGCCTGTAATCCCAGCACTTTGGGAGGCCAAGGTGGGTGAACCACCTGAGGTCAGGAGTTCGAGATCAGCCTGACCAACATGGTGAAACCCCGTCTCTACTAAAAATACAAAAATTAGCCATGCGTTGTCGCATACGACTGTAGTCCCAGCTACTCGGGAGGCTGAGACAGGAGAATTGCTTGAACCCGGGAAGCGGAGGTGGCAGTGAGCCGAAATTGTGCTACTGCACTCCAGCCTGGGCAACAGAGCGAGATTCTGTCTCAAAAAAAAAAAGATATTATTTTGTGAGAAAATAATTACATAACAATATATCTACTATGACTTATCTACTATGATTTCTGTTAAGAAGGAACTATGTGAATATAAAATGTTAGAGAAAAGTTAGGAAGTTATATTAAAAACATTTAACAGTGTTTACCTGAGAGAAGTGAAGGAAAGTAGAGGATATGGAATATTGAAATAGAAGTCATAAATTTGTACTCTATATTTTTAGGGTGATTTTTTGTCTTTCTGAAAACATAAAAGAAATATTAAAAATTTAAGTTATTAAAAATGTAAGTTAGAAAAAAGTAAAAATAGGAGGGAATATTCTCCTCCTTATTCCTAAATAGGAAGATCATTACTTCCTAGACTCATTAAAGTGATAGTTAACATATTGATTTCATGACAGCATTAGAATGAAAATATTGAAACTTATTAGAAGCCGGCAAATTGTAATTCATGTGGGATTTATTAAACATATTTAAAGCTGAACAATTCCAAATATAGAAGTCATCAATCTGAAGAGTAAGACTGTAGATCATTTGTTTAAGAATATCAGTCATGGTATTACATAGACAATCTAAGCAGCATTTGGAAATTTCATTCCTGAAAGTTCTATGGGTAGCTCTGGACTAAAGAGTCATTATAAAAATAGTCTTTTTGGTAATCCTGTCACTTGATTGACTGTAAAATTAATAGCACAATGGTGGATATATCTTCTTAAATGCCACCTGTTTTTATGGTTTTCAAGAAAGAGGTTAGAAAATAGAAATCCAGTACAATTTTCTGGTTTGTTTTGTACAACACTACTATGAAATTTCTCTACAATGTGGAAGTTACATTAAAACATTGCAGGTATTTTTTTCTCACATTAAATATTCAAATTTACTGTGGATTCCCTCACAGTTTTCAAATATTATTTTTTTGACATCATTTTTCATAATGTGCTCCTGATCATAAAATCTTGGTACTCCTATTAATGTCTCAGGAAGCTGCTAAATTGTGCCTCTAATTTATGCTTTCTGGAAAACAAAGTATCTTATATTATACTCATGGGATTTAATGTCTATATTTCAAGATTATACTGGTTTTTATGAATCATGTTTTATATAATGAATAGTTCATATATGGTTACTCTTCATTAAAGTTCATAATTTAAATTTATTTTTCAAAGATGTGAAACATCTGTGATTTAAAATACAATGATTTTTCTTGTGGCTTTATGCCTTGATTTCAAGATTCATAGATTTTATGGCTCTATTTCCTCTGAGTGTCTGTATAATAGCTCCGTCTGTATTAAGATGTATTTAAAAGAGGATATACTCACAAAAACAGGATGAGTAAATTTTTTCTTTCTTTTTTTTTTTTTTTTTTTTTTTTTGAGACTGAGTCCAGCTCTGTCGCCAGGCTGGAGTGCAGTGGCACGATCTTGGCTCACTGCAACCTCTGCCTCCCAGGTTCAAGCGATTCTCCTGCCTCAGCCTCCCAAGTGGCTGGCACTACAGGTGCGCACCACCACGACCAGCTAATTTTTATATTTTTAGTACAGACGGGTTACTGTTGGCCAGGATAGTCTTGATCTCTTGACCTCATGATCTGCCCACCTCGGCCCCCCAAAGTGCTGGGATTACAGGTGTGAGCCATCGTGCCCGGACAGAATGAGTAAATTTTTTAACCCATCCTTTTCATTTTGACAATATATCTTCTCTGAAAATTCTTTGGAAGATTACACAATTGCTTTTGTGTTTTGAAGGAAATATTTGAACTATGGAATATGTATAATTTTTTCTTATAGTTTGTGACACACTATGTGTTAATTTTTGGGCAAATATTATTTCTCAAGATCAATACTGAGTCTTTCTGAGACAGAAATGCAGAGACTTTTACCAAGCTGTGTAAGTTATCAATTATTCACACCTCATTATTCCACTGGTATTCTTCTAACATAGAACATTTAACACTAATTCTCAGAGACTATTTCTTATAAGACTCTCTGTAAAATATCAATTTAATCCCTTCTAATAAATTTTATATTTCCAGATTACAATTGAATATGTTTTTTGTTTGTTTGTTTGTTTGTTTTGAGGCTGGAGTGCAGTGGCACCATCTTGGCTCACTGCAACCTCCGCCTCCAGGGCTCAAGCAATTGTCCTGCCTCAGGCTCCCAAGTAGCTGGGATTATAGGCGTGTGCCACCACACCCGGCTAATTTTTGTATTTTTAGTAGAGACGGGGTTTCACCATGTTGGCCAGGCTGGTCTCGAACTCCTGACCTCAGGTAATCCACCCACCTCAGCCTCCAAAAGTACTGGGATTACAGACGTGAGCCATCATGCCTGGCCTGAATAATATGTGGTTTTTTTTATACTACTTTTAAAATATGACTTATAATTATGCCTGGAATATAATTCATATAAAGATAATTTTGACTTTCTTGGTCCCTGGTTTATATGAATGGAGAGATTCATTTAAATAAAGTAAGTTGATATTGCTTTCAAATCTGTAATCTTGAGGAAGTAACTTTCTCTATGTGAACCACATCATCTATAAATGAATGAAATGAGCTAGGGAACATATACAGTTGGACCAGATTTGGTTACCCTATGAATACTAATAGCAGTTAAAATATTATTCAAGAATTTCATTTCCACCTAAATAACAATATGGCTAAGTAACAAAAGAGTTACAGTGATCAATGTCTAAAATATTTTTATTTTATAACATTTTATGTTGTCTTAATTTCTATTGTAATTGTATAATGTGCTGTATTAGGCAGGGTTCTCCTGAAAAACAGAAGCAATGTAATATAATCAAATATGCAGGTATTTGATTATCACTTGAAAACCACTCTTTAGTGAACAGGCAACCTACAGAATGGGAGAAAATTTTTGCAATCTACTCATCTGACAAAGGGCTAATATCCAGAATCTACAATGAACTCAAACAAATCTACAAGAAAAAAACAAACAGCCCCATCAAAAAGTGGGCAAAAGGATATGAACAGACACTTCTCAAAAGAAGACATTTATGCAGCCAAAAGACACATGAAAAAATGCTCATCATCACTGGCCATCAGAGAAATGCAAATCAAAATCACAATGAGATACCATCTCACACCAGTTAGAATGGCAATCATTAAAAAGTCAAGAAACAACAGGTGCTGGAGAGGATGTGGAGAAATAGGAACACTTTTACACTGTTGGTGGGACTGTAAACTAGTTCAACCATTGTGGAAGTTGGTGTGGTGATTCCTCAGGGATCTTGAACTAGAAATACCATTTGACCCAGCCATCCCATTACTGGGTATATACCCAAAGGATTATAAATCATGCTGCTATAAAGACACATGCACACGTATGTTTATTGTGGCACTATTCACAATAGCAAAGACTTGGAACCAACCCAAATGCCCATCAATGATAGACTGGATTAAGAAAATGTGGCACATATACACCATGGAATACTATGCAGCCATAAAAAATGATGAGTTCATGTCCTTTGTAGGGACATGGATGAAGCTGGAAACCATCATTCTCAGCAAACTATCGCTTAAGGACAAAAAACCGAACAGGACATGTTCTCACTCATAGGTGGGAATTGAACAATGAGAACACATGGAACAGGAAGGGGAACAACACACATGGGGGCCTGTTGTGGGGTGGGCGGAGAGGGGAGGGATAGCATTAGGAGATTACCTAATGTTAAATGATGAGTTGATGGGTGCAGCACACCAACATGACACATGTATACATATGTAACTAACTTGCACGTTGTGCACATGTACCCTAAAACTTAAAGTATGATAATAATAAAAAAAAGAAAACCACTCTTCAAATATTCAAGTATTGACAAATGACAGAAATAATCTGAGCTTTGGTTAGAAATATGTATATGCTTAGGCATGTATATATTTATTTAGTAAATTAATTGAAAGTTCATAGTATATAAAACTGAGAGAGTGGCAAAAATACAGAAAGAGTCTGAAAAGTGTGAAATATCGAAAAAATGTGAAATAAATCCTAGATTCAAGGATGAAAGTTTTATGGGAAAACGTAACTCTTTGATAATGTGTTTACACATAAAACATTGATTTAAAATGAAAGAAAAATCTGGAGGCTTAATCAAATGGAAATACTCTATGCAAATAATCAGCAGCCTATAACTGAAATGTAAGAATAAAACACAAAATGAAGTTTAATACTGAGCATTATATCCCTTTGCCTAATGCACATACAAATTTTTCACGTTTAAAATAAGGCTTTTAAAAATTTATTTATGTATTTATTTTTTTGAGACAGAGTCTCGCTCTGTTGCCCAGGCTGGAGTACAGTGGCGTGATCTCGGCTCACTGCAAACTCTGCCTCCTAGGTTCAAGCAATTCCCTGCCTCAGCCTCCTGAGTAGCTGGGACTACAGGCACCCACCACCACGCCCAGCTAATTTTTGTATTTTTAGTAAAGACAGGGTTTCACCATCTTGGCCAGGCTGGTCTTGTACTCCTGACCTCATGATCCACCCACCTCAGCCTCCCAAAGTGCTGGGATTACAGGCGTGAGCCACCGCACCCGGCCTAAAATAAGGCTTTTAAAATGTATTTAATCACTTTAATAATCATTACTGGGTCATAGGGACAGATACGATGACTAATTCCTACTGAATTTTCAAAGAGTTTTTTGTAGTTATTGGTAGCAACATGTTGTTGCCCTCTCAATAATTATTCATTCTATTATTAAGGAACATATCTATACACATATGAGGGTATACTGTATTTACACATACATATATGGACATATCTATATAATTTCATAAAAACTTAGTGATGCTTATCAAGCTGAGTAAGAAACATTTGTCAAATTCTAGGTATAATCCATTTTAATATTATACTTTAGGTAACATAAATAAGAAGTTGTTTTATGTTAATTTGGCAAAGAGACAACAGAAGATAGAAAATAAAGCTTAAACAAAACAGTTTACTTTGTGACAAGGTAGTTATAGAAACACTACTATCTATGCCAATTCATATTCTATTCAATCTAAGATTGGTATAGCTAAAGGGATTATATGTATTTATAAATGGAGGTAAGGAATGTGAAGAAGCATTTATTGGGCACTGAAACATACTAAGTGCTTTACTTATTTATTTTAATTTTAACTTCAGTTCAACACAAATGACTGAAATTGTATTCATTTTAGAGTTCAGGAAAACTGGTCTCAGATCCATTAACTACACTACCAAAGGCCACGTAACTACTTAAAAATTGTAGAAGGTAGTGAGTGAACACAGATCTCTCTCTCTAATTCGTAATGTGATTCTCAGTGTGGTATGGTTCTGAAGCTGATATTGAATTTAGATAGGTTTTTAAATAAATCTCAGACAATTACTCAAAACTAGGAAAAATATTTAGAGAATCTCTGGAGACAGCCAGCCTTAACTTTAGACACATTGGAGCAAATTGCTTGAAATTGAAAACAAAAATTGAATGAGGGAGAGTATAAACATCAGTTGCTTTCTAGCCTCATCAAAGGTGATCCCTCATTTGTGATCTCTATATTAATAATACCTGAAATCGGCAGCAACACTGTTTTCAAATGTTCACTTCTGGACACAGGATTGGATCTCACTTCTCAACTATCTTGAAGTCAGGGGCAGCAGAGTGACTTCCTGGAGCCAGTGAAATGTGACTTAATATGGCACGTATCATTTTTAAGTGAAACGTAAGAACTAGTGAGCATTTCCTCATGCTGGGCACCCACACCCCTCCCCACCGGAAGTCTGATGGGTGGAGCTGTATGCTATGAGATACACCAGATGTCCTGTGGCTACAAGAAACTTTCCAGGCTGCAGCCACTGTGGACTCCAGAGCACGGCGGTTCATACTGGGTAATAGCTTCTTGCGATATGCCATTACTTTCTGCAGGAACAAATATCAATGCACTAAAATCCTCCAGCCTGCTAAAAATGGACTGTGTCCAATGACAAACAGAAGAGAATACTTTGCACTGCTTTAATAGAGACTGTAATATTGTTATTTTATAGAGTTTTAAACAAAACAAATTTTTGTTTTCTAATACTCACAGTACTGACTCGGGATGAGAGAAGGAAAGCGCTGGGTAGAGAAGGGCAGGTCCCTGGCTAGGGCTTCACCTCAGGTCCTGTGCACACGCATATAGGGGAGGACAAGCGCTCCTGTTTTCATGCCCAAGTTTGCATTTTCCAAGACCACCTGGCCTGCCACGTCCCCTATCCTGTGCCTGTAAAAACCCCAAGACAGGCAGGCAGGCACAGAAGTGGCTGGACGTCGAGAGGAACACATTGGCGGAAGAACACACAAGCAGTTGCACACATTGGCGGAAGAACACACAAGCAGCTGTGCCACACAAGCAGCTGTGCAGACGCACGTTAAGAGGAGCGCACGTTGAGAGGAGCGCACGTACGTTGAGAGGAGCGCACGTACGTTGAGAGGAGCGCACGTACGTTGAGAGGAGCGCACGTACGTTGAGAGGAGCGCACGTACGTTGAGAGGAGCGCACGTACGTTGAGAGGAGCGCACGTACGTTGAGAGGAGCGCACGTACGTTGAGAGGAGCGCACGTACGTTGAGAGGAGCGCACGTACGTTGAGAGGAGCGCACGTACGTTGAGAGGAGCGCACGTACGTTGAGAGGAGCGCACCGGAGAAAGAACACACGAGCTGCGGGACAGTGAGAGGAACACACTGGTAGAAGAGCACACAGGCAGCTGGATGTCGAGAGGAGCGGAAGAGCACAGCGACAGGCACTGGTGTCGACCAGCGGAACGACGTGGAGTTTGGCCTGGGAGGTCAGAGAAGAATTTGGCTGCTGGGCAGCCCCACTATAGGGGAAAACCACCTTCCCACTCCATTCCCCTTCTGATCTCCCCATCCACCTCGCTGAGAGCTACCACAACTCAATAAAAAACCTAGCACTCGATCTCCAAGCCCACATGTGATCCAATTTTTCCCGTGCACTAAAGCAAGAACCTGGGATACAGAAAGCCGTCTGTCCTTGTGATAAGGCAGAGGGTCTAATTGAGCTGATTAACACAAGCCACCTGCGGACAGCTAAGCTGAAAAAGCATCCTGTAACACACGCCCACTGGGGCCTCAGGAGGTGTAAACATTCACCCCGAGAGGCTGCATGGGTCCGCGCCCATGGTCCCCATGACTTGCCTGTTTGCCTGCTCTGGCTAAGGGTCTTGACCAGTGGGGCACTGAAGAAGCGAGCCACACCTCCATCGTACGCCCTGCGAGGAGGGTAAGAGAACTTTTTCTGTTTTACCACCAAGACCAGTAGCTTTACTTCGTTGAATTCAAATATGAACCAAATTGTGTTTCGTTTGGGGAATAGCTAAGGATTGGGTATTGTCACTTCCTTCTTCTAGAATGGATTTGTTGTTGTTGTTGAGACACTTATACCTCCCTGTATATAAATTGTTTTTAATCTTGTCTTACCAGTTCATCAGACATTATCATATAACTTTGAATCCCAATAATTAACATGGCCTATATATTTCTCAGGAGCTACCTAATTTCCCATGTAAATAAGTTGTTGCTAGGTCTGTTCTACCAGATATTCAGAAATTTACAGAAAAGTGAAAACATTTGCATTAGATTCACACCACATACATGTTTCTATTATGGCTGACACTCATTTTTTTCCAGACCTGTATTATCTTCAGTGGGTACTGTTTCACCAGCTCCGTATCTAGTTTTCTTGTTGCTAACCTCTCTATTCTGTTATTTGCTGTTTATCATCCACAGGATAAAAACCAACTATCACAATATTTAAATTATTTTTCAGCCTTTCTTCCCACAGCACCCCAAAACCAATTATCTGTTTCTTAAAAATTATAAGTCCTATGACATGGCTGGCAAAACAGATTCTTTCTCCTATTCTCAGTGTGAACCTCAATGTTTTATGTGCTGTTCTCCTACATATCCTCCAATCTCTAATTTCAAATATAACTTTCTCTTTAAAAATCCTTAGTGCTCCCAGGCAGCATTAATCACTTCTTATTCTGTGCTTCATTACATTCACCATACATAATATGATTATTATTATTTGTTTGAATGGCTGTGTCAGTGAATAAAATCTGAGCTAATTATTGACATGAACCCTGTCTTTTTTATTATTGTAGTCCGGATCTTATTGTGAGTGCATCATAAGTACATACTATATTTCTGTTTAATAAATGCTAAGGATTTTCTAATTAGGATACCTGCTATAAAATATTTTATTTCTGTTTCTTATCTCCAGGACCTGCCTTAAGTAAAGATAACTAGTATTAAAAGATTGTATACAGCCTCATGCCTCTTATCGAACCAAATTTTTTCTTCATAAATGATCTTTCCTTTCCACCTCCACCCCTTCCTTCATAAGGCACTTAAGAATTTTCTATACAGTATTCTTTCCTTAACATAGGCTACTGCTGTTTAGAAGGGATGAGATAAACTTAGGTGGAGATGGGTAAAAGTAAATGATAAAGTGCATTGTTTCTTCCATTAATATTTACTTAAATATATAATTTTCAGGTAATAGAAGAAAACTATGCTGACAGAATATAGGACATGACTGAGCTGTTTGATGGTTGCTTTTGTTAAGAAAAAGTGAGCCTTACTCAAAGCTCCTGAAATTACATCCTGTAGAGTAATCTATCATTAGTTTGCTCCTATTCCAAAATGTTTAAACCATTTCTGTATTGCCTTTACTAATTGTTTGAGTATTACCATAGATTTTTTTCTTTGATCTTATTTGGCTGAATATGAGAAATGACCCCAAAAGCAAAATATAGGAAAAGGATGCCAAGAACAATTATTATTTGTAGAGAGTACTTTTTGGGGGACTATTCCTATATACCTCCAACAATGGAGATCACCCAGAGTTGACTGCATGACTAAATATTCTCTTGGGTTGAGTTTAGTGATATGCAATGAGGTCTAGAGCTTGAAATAAATTATATTTGAAACAACAGGCAGAAAAATTAGGTGTGTTAGAGAATATATACAGTTAGAGAGAGTTTGATATAGAGAAAGCAAGTGATATTTTAATGAGTTAAGTTTATGAATTTATCTTTCTGCCCAAAGACAGTACATATGATTTTAATTTGTATTTTTTTGTCCCAATGTCACGTCTGCAACTACACGCAGCTAAAAAACACTGCCTTTCCAGCTAGGTTTCATTGTTACAGGCAATGAAATGAAAGGCTTTCCAGAACAGCCTGTTAGTGCCCTCTGTTGATGTTTTTAAATTTTCAGATCACTTCAGGAAAAGAAACCAGCATGATTTTTTTAATGCTTCTGAAATAATTTTCTTCAGAGGTAATGGGAATGAAGTTTTACTATTTTCATGACGAACTTTTTCACCCCTTAAAATGTGGATATGTGCAAAGGTGTTACTATCACACCGACTTTCCCTTCATCAGCTGTAGTTTTCCTTGGCTGGATGGACTTTATAAAAATAAAAAAGACACATGAAGTTAACAAAACTGCAAACTCAATATGAAATTTCACAGATTAGTGCACAAACCATAGGCTGTTGAATAAATATCTGGGTAAATTCTAGTCAGTGTTTGCAGCCTGCAGAATAATCAAATGCTACCTACATTTTTCAAAGTGATTCTTTGAAATTATTTTATCATATGTGGAAAGAAGTTATGCCTGTACACTTTATTCTGATACCACATTGATCATTACTCATTTTGGCTTTTTATTTTCTCCTGGTTGCATGCTTTGAAAAATCTGGGTCTGAAATATTTATTTAGTATTTCACTGATTGTTTTAAATAGGTGTGCCTATTTAGTCTACAATTAGATACGTAAATAAAGTTGAATCAGTTTTCTAAGGATACACCTTGCAGATAAAAGGCCTGTTGATTTTCATATAATGAACTAATACAGTCTGTGCAAAATTACTTATTTGATACGCATTTTACTCTTTACCTCCCCCAATCTTTTTTTTTCTTTTTAAATTTCTCTACTGTTTTATCCCAGTTGGCAGCTCTTAAACATTTTAATGAAAATTTGGAGATAATGCAATTTAGCTGTATTAAGAACTTTGCCTTTATTTAGGTGATAAACATTCTTTCTCATAATGCGGTTAGACAAATTGAGATGGTGAGCAGGAGTAAGGACAGAATAGGTACATTTCTAATGTCTAATGAGTTATCTCTTTTTAGTCCTTCTTTATTATATTGGAAGTGCCTATTCAGAGCACTAGAAATATTCATTTTAAATATGCCAAAACAAAAACCACAACTAAGAGCCAAATACAAATTATCTGAGGTTTTTCTTTTTGTTTATGTATGAGATTACAAAGCTAGCACTTTCACTATATTTACTGGTGTAAGAATCTAAAATTTTAACTCTGATTTTACAGATTATTTTATAAATAGCTATGCATCTAGTCATTTATTTGGTCAAAATATCTGTAGGTTCTACTCTGTATTTTACTCAGATTCCTTAATTATTTTTACTCTCAAAATAGTTATTTTTTAACAGTACTAGCTGCTAATTTGACTGCAAATTCTATGTATATAACTCTAGGTATGTTTTTACCAAACTAATTTGTCCAGTACCCCAACCTTTATATTTTATTTATAATTTATTAATTTATAATAAAGTAATATAATTTATTATAAATTACTAATTTATAATTAAATTAATAATTAATAATTTTATTTATTTATACATCTGTCTCTGGGAGAAATAATTCTGATGTAGAAAAAGAAGTATGGAGATATATATATGTATATGAAATATATATTTGCTTTTATTGCTCTTAATGAATTTTAAATGCTTTTAAAATTATGTCCAAAACTCAGTAGCATCTGATGTAGTAATTTTTAGCCAAGTACTATTGGAAACTGTAAATGGAAAGCAAAATTTTGTCTCCTTGAAGGCTCTAGTGTTTTTATGAAGTTCACTACGCATGAACTTCATAATTCCAAATAAAAAAATCTTTAAATGAGTAAGAGCACTTGGAACATAGTACAATTTTAGATGGAATGGTGAGGTATTTAGAAGCTTTATCATAGTGATTCAGTAAAACTACTACTACTACTGCTACTACTGCAACATACAAACACACACACATGCATACTCACAAAGAGAGATCTTAATCTAATCCACCTAAGTCTTTTCAACTTCAGCCTCTCACTTTCACAATGGTGAAAGAAAAAGGAGAGATGAGAAAATTAGATGAAAATTAAATCTTTCTTATGTTGCATGTTAGGTAATCATTCAAAAATATCCTAAATTATAACTGTATAAATTAAAATATACTGTAGATACAGGAAAAGATAGTAAGATAAGTGCAACAGTGTATTAATGCCAGAAACTATATATATTCTTATATAGTTGAGACCACAAATAGAGTTGAAATTTCAAATGAATCAGGAAAGAATAATAAAATGTATTTGAGTGAGAAACAAAACAGTATTGAATATGATGTTTTTGAATGCAGATGAAATCAGCTCCTGATTTTAACCAATGAATCAAATTAAGTTTTCAAAGCATTAGCACTTTATTATAACATATGAAACAGTAAAATTGCTTAAAGATTTATGGATAATTACTTACATAATTCTGAAATAAAGGCTTTTGTAAGTATGATTCCATATGTAAGCCCCATGAAAAATAATGTGGCATATTTGATTATATGAATTTCAAAACTTTTGTACAGCAGAAAAGAGAGAGAAACATACGGTTAAAATAGTTTTAAATATATATGATAGGCGAATTACTGATATATTTCTTAAAAAAAGATTTAATGAATAAAATATATAAAATTAACACTCTAAAACTGAGCAAAATTGCACAATAAATAACAGGGTGAAATATATGATCTTACTAGTATTTGAAAATTAAAATAAAAGCAATGCTTAATTGTTTTGCCATTGAAAAACAAAAAAACTAATGTTTTCTCTTACCAGTTGTATGGAGAAATGAACGTTCTCATATATTTTTGTTTGGAATTGAAATCTGTACGTAGAAAATCAGTGATGATGATAGCTACAGGAGACACAGATTACTAGGCAGATAGAGGTAGGTCCCCAGTGAAACTCAACCTTCAAGTCAACGGCAGTTTAAAACCTGAAAACTGAGCGGCCAGTTCTGGGTGGAGTTCATGACCAGAGTGAGAACTTTCTCAGTGCCTTTTAGCCAATCAAATGGTGCTTTTGTTCAGGCCTGCCCATGGACCAATCAGCACACACTCCCCCATTCTGAGGCCATAAAAAACCTGGACTCTGCCACAGAAAGCTAAAGAAAACCTAGGCAATACCATTCAGGGCATAGGAATGGGTAAAGACTTCATGACTAAAACACCAAAAGCAATGGCAACGAAAGCCAAAATTGACAAATGGGATCTAATTAAACTAAAGAGCTTCTGCACAGCAAAAGAAGCTATCATCAGAGTGAACAGGCAACCTATAGAATGGGAGAAAATTTTTACAATCTATCTATCTCACAAAGGGCTAATATCCAGAATCTGCAAAAAACTTAAACAAATTTACAAGAAAAAAAAAACCCCTCAAAAAGTGGGTGAAAGATATAAACAGACGCTTCTCAAAAGAAGAGTTTTATGTGGTGAACAAACATATGAAAAAGAGCTCATCATCACTGGTCATTAGAGAAAAGCAAATCAAAACCACAATCAAATACCATCTCATGACAGTTAGAAAGGCGATCATTAAAAAGTCAGGAAACAACAGGTGCTGGAGAAGTATTGAAGAAATAGCATGCTTTTACACTGTTGGTGGGTGTAAATTAGTTCAACCATTGTGGAAGACGTTGTGGTGATTCCTCAAGGATCTAGAACCAGAAATACCATTTGACCCAGCAATCCCATTACTGGGTATGTACCCAAAGGATTATAAAGCATGCTAATATAAAGACACATGCACATGTATGTTTACTGTGGCACTGTTCCTAATAGCAAAGACTTGGAACCAACCCAAATGCCCATCAATGATAGACTGGATAAAGAAAATGTGGCACATACACACCATGGAATACTATGCAGCCATAAAAAAGGATGAGTTCATGTCCTTTGCAGGGACATGGATGAAGCTGGAAACCATCATTCTCAGCAAACTATCGCAAGGACAAAAAAAACAAACACCACATGTTTACATATTGCTACAACAGTGATTAATATGAAACACTTTAAACATTGATTACAAAGAATTAATTTTTAAATATATATTAATCAGAAGCATTCCACAAATTATATGTTAGAATATTGGGTAATCTGCAGAAATGCTTATTAAAGCTAGTCATTAAGCCAAATGTACATGGTAATCCCACACTTTTTAATATATGAGTGTGTGTTTCTGTGTGTGTATATATTTGTGTGTGTATTCACATAATTATACATACACATAAAATATTTTAAAATTGCATATCAAAAGGTTGACAATATCTCTCACTGAGTTGATTTTTTAAATGTTTCTTTGTCGATATTTTTTAAATTTTGTAAACTTATCTTTTTTTAAAAAAATACTGTTTTTAAAAAATATTTAATATCCATCCCCTTTGCTCTTGTTTTCCAGCAGTAGGTCCACCTTTTAGTACTTTAACATAGTAATCTATTCTGTATGTGCTGACAAAAAGAATGACTTCGAACAGAAAAGAAATGGCAAAAAATTGATATATAATTTTTTAATTTCATGTTTATAAAGTAAGCATTAAAGCATAGTAAGTTGAAAAGCACCAGTAACTCTACAACATAATAATTTTGGCTATGAATTATACAGAAAGCTTGTGTGATACAACGCAACATGAAGAATAATGATCTGTTTCTAAATCAAATGCAGTATACGTTCTTTTTTTTTCCACATTGATTGCTATTACAGTGAAAACTTCCTAGTGTTTTACAGCTATTAGAAAGAACACAAAGAGTCTCTGAACAAAAAAATAATTTAAGGTTTTCTCTTAAGATTTATCATACAATGACAATAAATCTTTTTTGTTTACCATTTCTAAGAGATTTTATCTTTGCTAGTAGAACTGTTTGTTTTTTATTTTTCAAATAACTTTGTAATAAAGAATATGTACCATGAGCTCTATATCATATATCAATAGTCTGGAAACTCTTTGTCCGTGCATTACCAGAAAAAATGTTATGGCAATACCTATAATATGCATACGTCTGGTTTTTTCCTTCATTTGGTCATATTGAGTATTGTATATGCCTGCTGATATATCTCGAACAGCATTCTGCCCTAGTGATGTTTATCTTATAGTAGATGTATATACAGCTGTCAATCTATATGTTAAATGTGAAAAAAATTAATTACTTTTTTAATACATGACACCATTATTTATTCATCTGATAAAATAAAAGTGACAGTTTGTAAATGTCACATTTAATGAATTTCCTTCAAGTATGACCCCTCTATTGTTCTAATATTATCACTTTAAAAATGTCATACACAGAAGAAATGATGAAATTATAACCTTTCTGTGTAAGGCATCTTTCTAAAGAAACCGATGCTAAGTTTTTAAAATAAACATCTAAATAAGAGTGACTGAATTCATTTGGCTAGGACATGCACAACTGAAAGCAGAGATTGTTTTTCTTTAGTTTTAAATTTGACAAACTGTTAAGATGGGTGAGATTTTTCTCCTACTTTATAAGCCATCTTGTGGTGAGGGTACTTTCAGATATATCTAAAGAGAAACCAATCAGGATAATGTAGATTTGATTTATGGATACGTAAACTTTCTATGGGAATCCAGATGGTGAAATAGGCTTTATCTAACAGGAACAGCAGTGGATCTGTAAGTATGAGTTACTTTCTTCTTGTCTGTTCTTCCGCATTGCTTTATTTCTTTTATTTCCAATTCTCATTAGTGAATTTGTTTGCTCAGTGTCACCTGATTTAAACCAAGTCATAAGTTACTAGCCAGCCTATAAAGAGACCAATTTTGGTTTATGCATTCAAGGGTTTTGGAGAGATGAGCAGAATTTAGTTCTATGAAGGGTGAATGCCCACTAAAAAAGTTATGGCTATAAATTCTTTCAAAAATGGTATGAAGAAAAAGATACTTTAAAAATTTCTAATGTGGTTTGATGTGATATTTGTTTATTATGACAGTAGTACCGACATATTCCTTTGTTGTCTACCTTTTCTTTATCTTTCCTTTACTAACTACCACATTTAAAAAAGTAAATGAAGAAAAACTTCTTTCTACCAGTGCATTCTAGACATTTCTAGTAAGTTTAACCGTATTAGACAATATATTTCACCTGTAAAAAGAGCAATTTTATATGACTTAGCCTAATACAATGAATCAATGTAATCCTTTAGTAGAGAGAGTGCTCTATTGGTATTTACTCATTATTCTTATCAAGCTATAAAGGAACTCTTTAAAAAGTGGTGAGCTACTGACAACTTTTTTTTTCTTTTTTTCTTTTTCTTTTTTTTTTTTTTTTGATAGGGTCTCACTCAGTGACCCAGGCTGAATGCAGTGGAACAATCATGGCTTACTGTAGCCTTGACCTTGAGGGCTTAAGCAATCCTGCCACCTCAGCCTGCCTAGTACTGGGACTACAGGTACGCGCCACCACGCCCAGGTAATTTTTTATTTTTGTAGAGACGGGGGCGTCGCCGTGTTGCCAAAGCTGGTCTTTAACACCTGGACTCAGGTGCTCCTCCCGCCTCGGCATCCCAAAATGTTGGGATTACAGACGTGAGCCATCATGCCTGGCCTGACAACTTTCCTTTTTGTAAAATGAAGAAGCATTGGTACATGAATAATTAATGCCTCTTTATTCTGAATCTCTCTGCTGTTTCTCCACTTTTCAGAAACATCAAATATATTCAGCTCCCGTCTCTCTTCAACCATGTAAAATTATTTCAACAACTATCAGCTATTGAAGGTGAAACTGGCATGTCTGTTTGTTCTTCTCTTCCTGGTGTCAAAGACTCTTAAAGCATGCATATAAAATATGAAAGTAAATAAAACGTAATCAAAAATACTAACATTCAAACATTTACATATCATTGTTCCTACTATCCCTTTTTTCTCTGGATCTCTAATAGAAATAACAGTTGGTGTCCATCAAGTGTTAAGTGAATAAATAAAAAATTACCAAATTTTTATATTTGGTATATCTTATATTTCTATATCTATACAAAGAAACCTTATTTGGTAATAAAAAGATATGAAGTATTGATATGCTGAGTCAAAGATTCCAGTCCATTATTACAGTACTGCATTACTATAAAACATCTTGAGTATGCAAATCTATAAAGAAGGAAGTAGGTTAGTGGTTGCTTGTGGCAGGACAGGAGGGGGATATGGCATAATAGCCAAATGGTACAGCATTTATTCTTGAAATGATGAAAATTTTCTAAAATTGACCATTGTGATGGATGCCCATACGTGTGAATATGCTAAACACCATTAAATTCTAATTAAGTGAATTGTATGTTTTGTGAATTATATCCCAAGAATACTTTTTAAAAATGAAGATTAGATTATATCATACTTTACCAAAAACGTTTGTAAGAAGCAATCACGTCTTCTCAGGAAGACGGATTCCTTGAAAGTATGAGAACATGGAGGAGCTTATTTTCTCTGATGGACAATTTCACATAGTCCCTGTTTGTATTTGGACAAAAAATTGACAAGGAAGTAAAATTATAATCTTACTTAGAATAACAATACATTTTAAAATTATAAGAGCAAGATAATATCAACATATTGATAGTTTTTTATTTTATCAAACATCCTTCCAGAATATTATTTTATTTCAATTTTGAAAAGTTCATTTTGAACTTTAAGTTTGAAAATGTTGTTAATTCACTCATTGAAAAACTTTATTTTAATATATTAGATATTCACGAAGATGAAAGCCTAAAATAGCATGTGACCTAATGAAAGATAATAAGCAATGCATTACTTAATAAATATATTACAATAAATTGCAGAGAAGCTCCATGGAGTGCATAAGTAAAAGAAGTGTCGTGTTAGCTGGGCATTAACATATGAAGAATTGGACAGATGGAAATTAATGAAGAATTGTGGCAGATAGGCTTGAATAAGCAAAACAGTAAATTTTGATACAGTGGAGGTAAAATCAGACATAGTTTACATAGCTCATAGAGCAAAGATAGAAGGTTAAAAATGGAAAATTGTTGGCTAGATAAATCAGGATTCAATGGGGGGTAATTTTCAAAGCTGTCCTAGGGAGTTTGACTTTTATTCCACAGTCCACAGAGAACAAAGGAAGGCTGTTAAGCAAGAAAGTAACGTGTTCACAGATATGCTTTGTAAAAGACTAGTATGTTAAGATATCCCAGAGGCAGGAGAGGCTACAGAAAGACAGATACTTGTCAATATATTGTAATAAGCTGAATGGAAAATTACTGAATTTCTAAATTAATGTAATCATAGGGATGGAAAGGAAAGATATTCTGTGAACTTTCAGAAATGAGCAATAGAGAGATGTGATGAACGATAGAGAGAGACAGTGAAAGTGATCAGAAGATTTTAAATCTAATAACAAAGGTGGTGGGGCTATTAACAGACAGAAATTTGGCGATGGCAATGGTGTGTGTGTGTGTGTGTCTGTGTGTGTGTGTCTGTGTGTGTGTGTTAGAGAGAGGGAGAGAGAAACGAGTGAGAGAGCTAGAACAACTTTTCAGTATACTTATAACAGAAATTTCAATGAGAAATGCAGAAGTAATGGTAAAATGGAAGGCTGGGCATATAGTAATGAAAGTAATTCACAGAAATAGGTGGGTTGGAGTATTAGTTTGTATTTCTCATGCACAAAAAATAAAAGAAAACTGAGAATTCATTCTATGGGAGTTCTCCTGTTGAATGGATGTAACAGAGGTAAAAGATAATGGAGTAAATAAATTAAAGAGAACAAACAGGAATGTAGAAGAAATTCTAGGACATTATGTAAACATTACACCTGGTCCAACCAATCCATGGGCCCTATGTAAATCAGACACTGCCTCCTCAAGCCTACCTATAAAATCTGGTGCACTCCTACTCTGGGACAGATTTCCCTTTTGGGAACCCCCTCTCTCCTGTAAGAGAGAGAGCTCTTCTCCTTTCTCTTTCTTTTGCCTATTAAACCTCCCTAATCTTCTTATCCTTAGTCTTCTTGGCATGAGCCAATGAATGCCCTGGGTATTTACCCCAGACAATGATGCCATTTCAAATACATGATTGTATACCAATTTCCCTTATAATTCACTTTTACAATTTCGAAAACTAAATTATTGACCATAGAAATTGTAAAATACTTGAAAAATTGACTTTATGTAGGCATGTTGAAGGTAAATTATGTAAAGAAACTGATAGAGAAATAAAATTATGCTGTATTATAAAGTCTTACCATGAACACTTCTATGAACACTATGGGTAGATTATTTTCCATATATTAAATATTTTTAAAAATTGTTTTTGAAACAATATTCAGAAACACATATATAAATTTTCAATGTAATTTAGTTATCTCACACCATAAAAAATTTTAGACAAATAATGTTAACACAGAAGTTTGAAAAGCATTGTCTCATATTTATATGCTTTATCTATGACCATTTAATAGTATATGATAGTGGCTTACTAAAACCTTATAGAATACATGCTTTCTAATAAATGTACCAACTGAAATTTAATTTTTTACAAACAAGTTTATCTACATGTGAAAATATATTTTTATGGAAAATATTTCATAATCTTTTTTACTAGATAATGATTTTAAAATAGAAGTTTCATGGTTGACCTAAAGTTTGATGTCAAGGGCAAACATTTCTGACTGGATTTTAAAATTCCCCAAATATTATTTCTCTGAAAAGTAGAGGAAAGTCTCAGAAAAATTTGAAGTCATGAATGTATAGAATGTGGCATGCCTAATTTATGTCAGGGTGACATCTGTACTTTAGATGTTTGTTATTTAAGAATTAGTACATACACCATTATCACTGTCTCACTTCTGACAAAAACAATTTTCACAGAAGCAACACCAAAACCTCAAACACACATTTCTGGAGGGAGATGTAGTAGTAAGTTAACCCAAGAGCAGAGGATCCTTTCCTGCTATCCTGAGACACTGTGATCCCAAGGCACTTTTACAACCTCCTCATGGCACATGCTCAGCCTCCTGTTTTGGTAGAAACCAGATGACATCACTTTTTGTTTCTATGAAAAAGTCTAATTATTAAATCACATGAATTTTGTGTGTTTGTGTGTGTGTGTTTGTGTGTGTGTGTGTGTCACGGAGTTTTGCTCTTGTTGCCCAGGCTGGAGTGCAATGACATGATCTCGGCTCACTGCAACCTCTGCCTCCTGGATTTAAGCAATTCTGCTGCCTCAGCCTCCCGAGTAGCTGGGATTACAGGTATGCACCACCATGCCCGGCTAATTTTGTATTTTTAGTAGAAACGGGGTTTCACCATGTTGGTCAGGCTGTTCTTGAGCTCGTGATCTCAGGTGATCCATCTGCCTCTGCCTCCCAAAGTGCTGGGATTACAGGTGTGAGTCACCGTGCCCAGCCGATCATTTTGTTTAAGTTTAGAATTGTTAGAGGTGATGTACCTAGGTCAACAATCGATGTGTAAACTATGCCATCAACACTATACAGGCTTCAGAATGGAGACTATACTAGGCATAAGGAAGTGGTCTATTTGGATGGCTATACGTATCAGCTGGACAGAGAGAACTATACAGCCAAGAAAGAAAGGTGGCCAACTAAAGAGAATACCTATGGGGGCCAGAAACCCTTCAGATTACAACTTAGCTTTAGTCAGAAATGTTACCTCAATCCAGCCCAAGAGTTCTTATAAAATGACCATGTATTTCTGTTGTAGGGATAGGAATAGGTTACCTACTGTGTGGTAGCTTATATTAGTGTTCAAAAAATAATCACTCTTCTCCCTACGTACTTCTTCATAGGCAAAGTGTAGTGCTCACCCTCACTGATAGTGAGTTTTGTTTTGTGCTTTGGTTTGGCCAATGGTATGTGGGCAGAAGAGACAGCATATACCAGTTATGAGCCCAGGTATTACATATTTGTTTTACTTACTTGCTTGTTGTTCCCAACTTCTGCAATGAGTAGATGTCCAAAGTAGCTTTTATTCCTTAAGTTTAGGCCCATAAGAAAATACATGAAGCTGACTCACAGCCTGAAACAAAGGTGAATTGAACCACAGCCAGAAGCAGAGCTTCTCCAGCCAATCTGTGTAATTGTTTATGCCACTGAGATTTTATATATGTTTGTAGTTGTTGTTACACAGCAATAGTTAACCTATATACCCAGAGACAATGACCTTAATGTATTTTTCTCATGTTTGATCAAAGACTAAGAAGATGGTGTGAGATGTTCAAGAAATAGTATAAATGTAGCACACCTTCTACACTGCACTGCTGTTGACTGATATTTTCTAATGCCATGATTAGAACTTCTTGCATATTGGAGGCATTCAGTCTGTTACCTATACCTCGTTTTATGTTATTGATATTATAATGATTTCTTCAATAGTACGTTCTCAGCCCAGGATCTAAACTTAGGAAATTGTCGTGGATTTTTCAAGGGTCAAGTTGAAAAGAAGAGATTCTAGAGAAGAGATTACCATTCTTTCTGAATATAAGAGGGATCCTTTGACTGAAAATTCTTTAAAGAAAGAGAGCCAAAAGTTTCCCTACCAGCAAGAGGAGAGAATAAATAATTTAGTAATTTCCATGAAATAACATGTTAGCCTTAACTCCTAGGCCTTGATATACTTGAGAGAGTCAAATACATACCTAAGGCACAGTCTTAACAAGGCCTATGCAGGCCCAAGTATGACAGTTTAAGTAAGTCATGATATCCTCTTGGTTAGAACCTTTAATGGCCTCCAATTGTGTTAAAAGAGAAGAAAAAGGGAGCCCCTTTACTTGGCTATCAAAGCCCTGCAACACCTGGCCCCTGCCAGCTTTTCGTACTTTATCACTAAGCAACCATTTCCTCCAGTTCTCATTATGCTTCAACCTAATTGTCTTTATTTGTATTCCTCAAAAATTAACAAGCTTTTTCTCACCTCCAGGATGTCATCCTTATTGTTCTGTTTGTCTCAACTGATCTTCCCCCAGAGCTCTTCATATGACTGGCTGATTCTTATTCTTTAAACCCAGTTCAAATATCATCTTCTAAGAGATGCCTTCCTTGCTATACCATCTAATGAGACCTTCTCCAATTTCATCCTGCATTTAAAAAAAAATTTATTTATTTGTATTTGATTAGTTTTGAGAGAGGGTCTCATCCTTTTGCCCAGGCTGGAAGGTATGTAGCTCACTGCAGCCTTAACCTCCTGAGCTCAAGTCATACTCACACCTCCCAGAGTGCTCAAGTCACGCTCAGCCTCCCAGAGTGCTGAGATTACAGGCATGAGCCTCAGACCTAGCCTACACCCAACCTCTTACCTTGTCCATTCCCTACTAGTATATAATAAAATAGGCAATTACTTTGTTTATTTTTAAATGTGCTTACTGCCTGTCTCCCTTATTAAAATATAATGTAAGAAGAATGATATGTCTTATTTATTGATAATTGATAGATGGATATCATAAGATGGCATACTTCAACTTAAAATTAAGAAATTAAGAAGATGTTTATTTCATTGGGGCTCTCCTACATCCATGAATTCCTCATTGATACACATGTTAAATTATAGTCGATGATTTATATATTCACTGAGAGCAAGAATCACACTTTCAGCATATTAGCAGTCCATGTAACAAGTCACCTCAAAATTTAGTGTCTGAGAACAACGAACATTTATTATGTCTGGGTTGCTGTGGGTCAGAAATCTCGAGGCAGCTTGGGTCGCTCTGACTCTCAGTCTGTCATTTGTAACCAAGCTTTCAGACGGATGGTTAGTTTTCTTAGGACTGGGTTGGCATTGAATGATTCACTTCGAAGCTCACTCACGTGATTGTTGTCAGTCTTCAGTTCTTCAAGGGCTCCTGGACCTCTTCACAGGGCTACATGAAGCTCTCCGTAGGGCTCTTCACACATGGCAATTTGTTTTTCCCAGTCTGAGAAATGGGGCACAGAATGTGACAGGGGACTCTGACAGTGAGAACAGTCCTTGCCTTTTTTTTTTATTCCACAGGTTCAGATATACCACAGGTTAAATTATGTCTAAAACATATTTGTAATGCACAGTGAAATCACACCTATGGTTGATTACAGAGAGAGAGAGAGAGAGAGACTTTCTGTATCCTAATCTCAGAACTGACATTCTTTCACATTTGCCAAATTAGAAGCTAGTACTTGCATTCCCTTGAATGTTAAAGGGAATGATATTACAAAAGGCATCAAGATCAGGAGGCTAGGATCATCTTAGAAGCTGCCTTCCACAATCAAGAGTATTCTGGTGTTGGTTAGCAGCTTATCCTGGATTAACTCTAAATTTCATTCAGTGCTAGTATTTTTCTATTAAATTTGTCATTACAATACTTGGAACACCAAAAAGATATGGTGATTATTTGTGAGGCACATTTTCAATGCAACCCCTGCTCTAGTAGAGTCAATTGAATGCAGGAAGACTGAAGAATCCAAATATGCCAGTCACTTTCAGTTATATATTCATTCACTGAACAAATGCTGGCTATGTATCTACCATGCCAGGAACATGTTAAATTATGCAAATATACTGAAGAAGAAAAAAGTGTCTGTCTTCATGGAACTTAACTACAGTGGAGAATAACCATGTTATAACCACAATAATCAAATGTTTAACTGCATTTAAACTTTGCTGGATAATGCCAATAGAATACTTTTTTTTTTAACTCCACAGATTCCACTCTAATGCAGAGTGGAATCACAGGTATGCTTGGTTAACTTATAAGTAAGTGTTTAAGGCTTTCCTCAACATTCACATTATAAAGATGTTACGCTGTATCATTATTTGTTGCGTTGATAAACCAACAGCAAAACAAGCTGTGCTAGATAACATTGCCTTCATATTGGTTTGTGACTAAATGTTGTTTGATGGACTATGAATCTCAGTTCATGGATTAAAGGTATGACAACATCAAATAGCTCTGAGGCTTACATAAAGCATCATCAAAATTCATAGTAAACACAGCAGGAGAGACTACAGATATGTAGAAATTCATTGTCAAGAAAGTATTGCCATTTTGCATGAAATTGATAAGGCCTATATAACCAGATCAAGGTAAAGCTCTTTCCATCTCCTTAATATTTTTTAAAGCTTACAATATGTGAGGAAGGAAAAAAAAATCTTCAGACATAGAATTATGAATCACGGAGTTATTCAGCAGACGGCCTATATAGTTTGTTGACTTATAACATATAACTTTGTAAATTTCAGAGTATGTTATTTCTTATCATCATTGCTTGGGCCGTCTTTTTTCCTGGCCAATTTTCCAGGAGTATTCCCAGAAGAATAGAATGAAACTAGCCTGCTTGAACTTTTTCTGTGATGTGTTTGACAGAAAACAACTTTTGTCTTTCAAAGGAAGGTAAACAATTGCTGAGGGATTGAACCTGTTTCCAGGCTCATTACTACGCATATTAAGGACTGAAAGAATGACCGAGGAAATCTTTCAATTGCTTGTATTTTGAATACAAGTTGCCTTCATTTTTTAAAAAGTTTAATGACTTGGGATTTCATTTCCACCAAATAATGAAGCCGGTGCAGGACTGCAAATTGTGTCTTGGATGTTGCCATGCACTGCTGCACTTGATAGATAATTTATTCAGAGTCCTGGAAGAAAGCTTTTTAAAAATAACTGACATTGAGGATGCCAATAAACATTGATGCCATGCGCGTGCCAGCTGTGAAATCATTAGTAGGTGAAACACCCTACCGTGCAAACAGCTTCAAACTGATTTGAGGGATGTATTTTAGCCAAAGGCATAAATGAATTCATGAATTTGCCCTACTTACTGTTCTCTGTCTCAGTTCTGTCTTTTAAAATTTTTATTTATTTATTTCTTGTATTCATTTAGGTTGGTGGATATAGCATCTGAATAGGCAGAGTGCTCTATTTTTTTCTTGATGAAAAGGGAATTGCTATTACAGTCTGTTATCCAAAAATTACCATAACAAATCTGCCCTTCCAATTAGCTGGTGCATGGAAAGATTAGTTGAAATTTGGCCTGGAACTTTTTATTAAGACTAAATAGGAAACCATGTGTATATATTGGTATTAGTTTGTGTTATGAGACACATAGACACACATATTTTATTTCTGCTATAAACAATTACGAGAAATAATTAGGTTGCTCTATATATCCACAGAGAACAAAAATAGGACCTATGGATACAGACTAAAATAACTCATTTTGAATAATGGAGAATTTTCTAATGATATAGCTGGCTGAAGAGAGGGTTTTGTTCTCTTTTTTTGTTTGTTTGCTTTCCCATAGCTAGTAAGTTTCCTGTCCCTGAAATAAATAGATGCTGGATACCTACTTGGTAGCAATGGTGTACTGATAATGTAGGCTTCAAATAGCAGGAATATTCTGCCAGAAGAATTCAAAGATATTTTTCAACCTTTTGGTTTCTATCATTTTTCTGCATAGAAAATTTCTCCAGGCTAATTCTAGCTTTATAATATGAGGAGAGGTAAACTGAAATATGAGAGAGAAAAGTGCAACATAGAATTTCCGACACTGTAATTGGGAATATTTAGTTTCCTCTTTTTAAATTAAAAGTCCTTTGGAACAAAAAACACTGGAAAAGCCGCTATGAATTTGGGCCTTTTGGTTGATTTTTGCAATAATCATTCAACATCATCTTTATTTTTACTTAATTATGATATCTCTTCCTTCTCTTCTTTTGCATGTCTTTTCAAAAGTATCCAAGTAAGCAAATAAAAATTTTAAGATTATTTTTGTGGAACCACAATATCATCAGCTAAATGTAACCAATTTCACAATTCGTAGTATAATTAGCATTCTATTATATTGAATGACTTCTTAAAACATTTCTTAACATATTACATTCATCTGATTTAACTAACAAGTTGCAACATGTAGATTTGCTGAAATTTGACCTTTTTGAGTTAAAAATATGCCAACTTCATATATGTTATGTTGTAGTAACAAATAAGATATTACTGGTATAAGACAGTTTTTTCCTTACACAAAGACTGACAAAGAACATTGGGGTTTCTCTTGCAGGCTCTGCAATTCTGTATTCTCAATAGCAGACCATTATTCTCAACAGCCATGGAAAAGGCAAGGTGTAGATAGTAAAGTAGCTCTTACATTACTCAGCTTAGAAATAGAACATGCTATTTCTGTTCATAGCTTAGCCAAAACTGGTGCCATTGTCTCATCAAAATTGCAAGTAATGTCAGGAAATGCAGGCAAGGGAGCACCACAGTTTCAGTTTTGTAGGTCTAATATATGTCATAAATTTCATGCTACATACCACTGCTATTGATGCTTTTTTCCTGATGGAACCCCGACTCCCTGATAAACACATTCATAGGTACATGCTATTATTCTCTTAGTGTTGCAGATGGAGAAACTTGGGACAGAGATAACCAAGGTACTATCTTATAAGTGATGGAGCCAGGATTCAACCCCAAACTGTCCAGCAAATGGTAGTCTGCAATCCAACATGAATTTATTAAAAGCCATGTTATGTTGTAGAGAGGAGAGTGTAGGGAGCTGCATGTAAAATGACCTGGACTTAAGTCTTAGCTTTATCACCAATTAGTGACTCTAAAACCCATTGAAGAATTCTTTCTACTACTTCTCTCATCGGTGTAACAATTGAGGGATATTAGGTGATCTTTAATATTTTTCATCTTAAAAATGCTATAAATTTACTGGACTAGGCTAGTAAATTTTTTTCTCCCCCAAATTGCACCTCCATCCACAGAAATTTAAAGGGGTAGCTGATGTCCACAAACACTCTGGTATGCAGGCTCTAAAGTTACAGTCTGTGCAATTGAATCCAGACTCTTACTTGCCTGTGGTAGGCAGAGTAATGGCCCCACGAAGATGTCCACGTCTTAATTCCTGGAACCCGTGAATATGTTATGTGGCAAAACGACTTTGTATATGTTATTAAGGATCTTGAAATGAGGAGGATAAGTCCAACATAAGGACAAAGAACCTTATAAGAGAAAGAGGGAGGTGGAAGAGTCAGAGTCAGGGAAGGAGATGTGATGATGTAATCAGTGGTAGGAGGAATGCAGAGTCAAGAGCCAAGGGATGGGGCAGCTTCTGGAAGCTGCAAAAGCAAGTAAATGAATTATTTCCTTCAGCTTCCTCTGATCCATTTTGGATTTGAAACCTCCAACATTTTAAGATAAGACATTTGCATTGTTTTAAGCCATTAAGTTTGTGGTGACTTGTTATAGTTTTAATCCAAAGCTTATTCATTGCCTAATATTATCCTACCCCATGACTCATTCCAGGGCTATCTTCTCTTTTCTGTCTATGTGCTTTCCCTTAGTGATAACGTCAACTATCACAACTATCAATGCCATTTCTATGAAGTTGAACACTTCTTCTAGCCCAGGATTTTATGTCCAGCTTTCTAGTTTATACCTCGTCAATGCTGATACTCAAATTAGATTACACATGGCCAAAATACTCTTCTCCTCCCAGGACTCCTTGTCTCAGAAAATGAAACAGCTGTCTTCTCAGTTGCTAAAGCCAGTTATTTAAGAATTATTCACAATTCTGCTTTTCCTACCATCCGCTATCTAACTAAATTTGCAAGTTCTACAATGTTATCTCCAAAATGTGTCCCTTCCTTTTTGTTTTACTGGGCTCAGCCCTGATTATTTTTTGTCTGAGCTTCCACAGTAGGCTTACTCACAGGTCTCCCTGATTCCACCCCTGCCCCATTCTGATCCATTCCACGTACAGTATTTTGAGTGATCTTTATTTTTTTAATGTTATGCCAAATTATGTCACAACTATGTTTAAAATTATCTAATGGCTCCTCATCCTTCTAAAACAAACCCCTAGCCAGTTACCCTGGTATATCTGGACCTTTCCTAAGTACCAAATTATCTATTCTATTTTAGTATCAGTTTGTTCTTCAACATCACACTATAAACCCATTGGTCTTCTTTATGTTGTTCCTGGAGCCCTCTGACTCTGAATTTATTCCTACTTAGGGTCTTGGTATTGCTCTTTCTCTATTGAAATGTCCTTTCTCCTTTTCTGAAGATACAGCTTGTTCTTTTCAGGTATGATTTCTCAGCTTATCTACTCCTCTTTTTTTGCACTTGTATTTATAATCTCTGTTTAGGTTCCTTGGCTGTCTGAGGGCTACTCTCACTGGTGCCTTCGGAACACCTGAGCAAGAACTTTAATTAGCTGCCTCTCTGTTTCTTTAGACAAACATTTTCTCCGTTCCCATGGTTGAGGATACACTGGTTCTGACAGTAATGCTGGGCTTTTTCTTTTTCCTTTTTTTTCTGTTTGAGGTTTTTTATTATTATTATTATACTTTAGGTTCTAGGGTACATGTGCACATGTACAAACGTGAAGGTTTGTTACATTTGTATACATGTGCCATGTTGGTGTGCTGCACCCATTAACTTGTCATTTACATTAAGTATATCTCCTAATGCTACCCCTCCCCAGTGCTGGGCTTTTTCTACCAACAAACAGCTCTTCCTCTTCTTCTCTGATTTGTACTCTGTTTTTCCATGTGAAACATCATACCGAAGGTCGAACATGTCTAGGAATACTGCCTCCTTTAGGGAGAGGAGACACAAATCATGTACTTTCTAGTCTACAGTATCCATATTGTCTCTCATAGATATTGCATTCTCTTGTTTTCCATTTTTCAAATACTAATCAGTATTTGGTATTTTCTTCTTTGTATATTGATTTGTCTATCTCACTCTCACTCTGTCACAATATTGTAGGCTTCAGGAAGCAAGGACATTGTCTTGTTTAATGTTGTATTCTCTGTGACTGACATAGTGCTTAGCACATTAAATATTTGTTAAGTAGATATATAAGTTTGGTAATTGGTGACCAGGCTTCCCATAAATTCAGTTGTATCAGAATTTTACAACCGAAGTGGGGAGGGGATGCCCTATTCAATGAATGATGCTGGGATAACTAGCTGTCAATATGTAGAAGAATGAACCTGGACCGCTACCTTTCAAAATATACAAAAATTAACTCAAAATGGAATAAAGATTTAAATATAAGACCTTAAATTATAAAAAAAAATCCTGCAAGAAAACTTAGGAAATACTATTCTGGACATAAACCTTGGAAAATAATTTATGACTAAGTCCTCAAAAGCAATTGCAACAAAAACTAAAGAGCTTCTGCACAGCAAAAGAAACTATCAACACACTCAAAAAGACACCCTACAGAATAGGAGAAAATATTCACAAACTATGCATCTGACAAAGGTCTAATATCCACAGTCTAAAAGGAATTTTAATAATTCAACAAGCAAAACACAAATAACCCCATTAAAAAGTTGGCAAAAGACATGAACGGGCACTTCTCAAAAGAAGACATACAAGAGGCCAACAGATATGAAGAAAAAATGTTCAGCATCACTAATCATCAGAGAAATGCAAATGAAAACTACAGTGAAATACCATCTCACTCTAGTCAGAACAGCTCTTATTAAAAAGTCAAAACATTCTAGACGCTGGCAAGGCTGTGGAGAAAAGGCAACACTTATACACTGTTGGTGGGGATTGAAATTAGTTAAGCCACGGTAGAGATCAGTTTGAAAATTTCTCTAGGAACCTAAAATGAAACTACCATTCAACCCAGCAATCCCATTACTGCCTATATTCCCAAAGGAAAATAAATTGTTCTAACAAAAAGACGCTTGCACTTATATGTTCACTGCAGCACTATGCACAATAGCAGACACGTGGCATTAACAGAGGTGCCCATCAACAGTGAGTTGGATAAAAGAAAATATATATTCACCTTTAAATACTAGGCAGCCATAAAAAGAATGAAATCACATCTTTTGCACAAACATGGATGCAGTTGGAGACCACTATCCTAAGTGAATTAACACAGAAACAGAAAACCAAATACTGCATGTTCTCATTTATAAGCAGGAGCTAACCACTGGAAACACATGAATATAAAGATGGCAACAACAGACACTGGGGACTACTTGGAACAAGGGCTAAAAAGCTACCTATCGAATACTATGCTTATTACCCGGGTGATAGGACCATTCATACCCCAAACCTCAACTTTATGCAATATACCCATGTAACAAAGCTGCGTGTGTACCCCCGAATCTAAAATAAAAGTTGGAATTATTTTTAAAAAACAGGAAATAAGTTCAAGGGATCTATTGCACAGTATGGTGACTATATTTAATGATGTTATATTGTATTCCTGAAAAATGCTAAGAGAGTGGATATTAAGTGTTCTCACCACAAAAATAACTATGTGAGATAATACACATATTAATTAGCTAAATTTAACCATTCCACAATGTATATATACTTTAAAAAATCATGTTGTACACAATAAATGCATATAATTTTATATGTCAATTTAAATAATTTTTTTAATTAAAGGAAAAGAAGAATTGTACAACTGAAAGAGGATAAGCAAGTTGTTTTGTTCATGGGTACTCAACAACAGATTGTGGGGATAAAAGGTCCCATGGACTTTCTCAGTAATTATTAGTTTTCCAGCCAAGCCTTATAGAACTTGCATATAATCTTTAGAGAGAGGGAAGCTGCCTGGAGAAAATAAGAAAATCTTCATTTTAGTTTTGAGAGTGAGGGCCAATCTGTATATCTGTGAAATATAAAGGCAAATGTTAATAACTTTGTGCCTAATTTGACATAAAAATGGGATTAGGCACTCTTCTTGAGTCTAAGTTAAACAATTTGATAAGGTGGGCACATTAACGGTTGCTTTATTGGTAAATTTGGAGAAGTCATACTTGCGGTTAATTACAGTGTGATTGCTGAGGATTACACTGTGAGCAGCAAGAAAATACAGATGGAAGTGAACAAGACAGCCACACAACATGGCATAAAGAAAGAGGTCTGACCACTCAGCCAAACTGTGCTGATGTGTTGACATGTTTTAAAACTATATTTCACTCTCTGATTTGTACTTTTGCTTTCAGTACCTTTGAATAGAGAGAATAATAATATCTTTTCCTTGGTGCCATTGCTCTAATTTACAAATGATATTGTGTAGGATGATAACTCATATCTTGGTATCTCAGATGCTTGAATAAATTATTATTCTTATTAATTTTCTGCCGCTGTAGGATGCTTTTATGCTTCTTATGTAAATGATTGACTTGCATAATTACATGCATGTCTAAGCACTGCTTTTTGAGAGATGACATCAATGAATTTAAAGATTTTATTTTAGATTGTCTTTCAGAATTCTTTCAGATGCCTTCCTGTGTATAATTAGCTCTGCTTGTGCTGAACAAAAGTGGGCCAAATTTATGCTAAGTATCATGACGCTATTTTTCTTTGACAATATATAGTGATATAAAGCATTTATATGTCTGCTCTCTAGTTTTCCATCATAATTTTTCCTCTTCAGAAAGTCGATGCATTATTCTATTCATCCTTCAGTCTTTCCACCCACCTACTCACCCATCCATTTATTCAGTCAAACTTTTTGGAGAACTCCCTATGTAACAGACATGGAGGTTTGCTCTGGTGATTTCAATTAGGATGACATGATCTTGTCATTGGAGAGGTCACAGGTTGTAGATGTGAAACACACTAATGAATAATTTGAAAGTGATGTGATAATTGTTTTAATTATATAAAAAGCACTTCACCTAGTTCCTTTCTCCTTAATGCTTGAAGAGCTTTATTAGAATTAAAAAACGAGGAGCCCTTAATGTTAGACGTTATTTAGACATCTAGAAGACTAAAACATGTTAGATAATTTAAAGAAAATACAGTGTTTGGCTTATGTTTATTAAAATGGGTATTAACATTTGGGAGCAAAAAATAGAAATTTATTATCTTGCTCAGTGCTCTTGTAAGAGCTCATAAGATATGCTTTACACTTTACGACCATTATAATGAGAAAAAGTAAGGGAAGATTATTCTAAAGGAGGAAAAGAGATTGAAGAAATTTGATAGTAAAATGTATATTAAAAAGGAAATGCAACTGAATATAGATGAACTCTATCAGTAACAAGAAAATGATATCTTTCCAGCTTAATTTACTTTGGCAAACACTTGCATGTATGCAATGGGAATATAATCTAAACACCTTATTAGAATATGTATCTCTTTGCTGCAGCTTGCTTTATCATATGCATAGATATATAATGCTCCCAGGAATAATTTATGGTTAAATGTGTTTTATTACCTGTTACCAAGAAAACCAAAGGGAGAAATACATATTCTTCAGTACTTTGAATATAATTTTTTTAAAAAAAATAATGTTCACATTTAGGAGACTCACTGATAATTTACATTACTTTCTATTGTAATCACATGTGATGAAAACAAATTAGGAAATATAAGGTAATTTAAAAATTTTAGTCTATTTGCCATACTTGTATAATGTCATACTGGAAAGTAGTTAATAAAGTACCGATACAAATTGAGAAATTGTGTGATTATGACCCTTAGTCACATTGAAAATATAGTTAAAATTATATTATGATCTTAAAAGGACCTAAAAATGGGGGAAAAAAAGATAAAAACAATTCTACCTCTTTTTAGGAGAGTTCATTTTAATTAAATAACATAATTTTCTGTTTTATACAAAATTTGTAGACTTTGATTTCTCAGTGCTTTAAAAATGCAATGCTTATTTGATGTTAATACTCATGTGAAATTTAACTACGCAGAAATATCGATTCACTTACCATAATAGAAACAGCCTTTAATATTATCCTACTGTTTTTCTTTTATTGTTTCTCCGCCATCCATCCCACCCAGTTCTTGTCAGAGTGATCAGATATCTATCAGTCTCTACTTACTTCTACACTTTAGTAGAGGCACTTATCTATGGACCAAATTCTTTAGCACTTCTTTTTGATGGTCAATTTACGTGCATTTTAAATGCTAATAAGCATCTGCTTTCAGCAATTAGAGTTACCTTATCATTGACAGGAGGGAAACAAAAGAAGTCCTTTGATAGGACATTTTGTGTAATATGCATAGTTCACTGCCTGGAACCATTTTAGTTTATGTTGATCTGTAATTAGCATTATACAGTTTAAATTCTGCATACTGGAAATATGTTACATAACAACAATTATTTAATTTTACAAATTGACTAAATTAGTCAAAACAGAGTCTCTCAAGTTATAGTCCATACACAGTTTGGACATTATGGTATTAAAATACTTGGATTGGTGTATATTTTTTTAGATTTATTTGATAATTTTTATGTTTGATTTGGCTTACTACTTGCATAAGACTAGGTATATCTAATTATACTAGATAATCTAGCTATACTTCGTTTCAGATATCTAAATATTTACATTGCATTATTGTAAGAATAAAGCATCCTGGGTGTTCATGTAATCTATGTATTTCAGGTTTTGGATTAAAAACGGTTTCAAACACTCAAAAAATTCTTTTATATCAAAAACCGTGTTCTCACTTATTTTTTATTCTTAAATTTTAATCTGTTACTATGTTTTTAACAAGAATAAACTACCTTAAAATCATGCACCTTTTAGAAATTTGGTTTCAGAAATGGTATTTATTGGTAACTTTTTGGGAAAATGCTATTGTAAATATTTTGGTTTTCTCTTGATCTATAAAAACTACTCCCAAAACTTGAGGGTTTAAACAGTCATTTTATTTTTTCTCTTTTTTGGCGTCAAAAATTTGGAGAAGGTTTGGCTGAATGGCCTGAGATAGAGAAAAGACAGAGATAGAGAAATTAGAGAGTTTATGTGTCATAAACTGGAGTGCCGGTTCCACAACGCTTTCTCACATACCTAGGTGTTGGTGGTTACAGCTGGAAGGCTAGACTCAGCTGGACCTCTCTCTTTTAATGGTCATTTCAGGTCTCTCCATATTGTCTTTTACATACTATATCAGGGCTCCCAGATACTAATGAAGAAACTGCTAGTCACTTCAAAGGCTAGCTAGAATTGACATTGTGTCAGTTTCGCTACATTATTGAACAAAGAAGTTACATGTTGTCCAAATTCAGAGGAGTGAAAGAAGATTACTTTCCTCCATGGACAGAGTGGCAAAGAATTTGTGGCAGTCTTTTCTCTCTCTCAACAGGAAATCTCAAAAGACTTGTCAAGTTATAAAGTTTGGCAGAAATTCTGTTAAATAAAATCAGCTGAAATGTGTGTAATAAAGTATAGTTAAAAGTAATTATCATACTGTATATTTTTTTTTGTCCAGAAACTTTAAACCCATTTGTTAAGATTTTGCTTCTTTTATTTAATGTGAACAAAAATATCACTGGAAAGAGTTATCTCATGGGTGTTTATTAGAGAGTGCATTCATGTGCCTCTGGTATTATCCTGGCCACTTATAAATGCTTATCATTAGTCACATCGACTGGCAAAGTAATGATAGCATATTTTGACTCTTATGAGCTCACTAATGCATCTCATAATATGTCAAAATCTTAGTAGTTCCCATAATAAAATTGTAGCTTCTGAAGCTCAAGGGGACCTTAAAGTTCTTTTAGTAAAAGACAACTGATGCCTAGTTATCTTTAAAGAATTTAAGTAAAGAATAAGTTTTCCTTGTTCCCCCAAAAACATACATATCAAATGTAGCACATTTTCTCAATTATTAAAGACAATGAATTAATTATTGTAAAATTATCAAATCTACTCATATTCAAGTGCAATTATCTGAGCTGTATTATACGCTAGGACTTGGATTTGTACACTACATACATTATCTCATCTAAATTTATAACACTAAAAAAGATATGCATTATTTTTCCTTTTTTAGGTGACATTTGATATCATTAAGATTATTTAAATGTTACTGCTGGGAAATAATTTTATGTTAGAGAAAAACACCATGGATGAAAATAAATTTTATTTGTAACAGAGAAAAATGTAAAGAAAAAAAAAAAACAGGCAATGCTTTGCAACTATTTTTCTACCTTTCATCCTGAAAGGACTTTTAAAACAATAGCAATAATAATAACACTAAAAGAAAAAATTAAGATTGATTCAATTATTAGGGAAAATATACATAGCATTTGCTGCCAGAAAAGGAAAATCTTATAGACTACAATGACCAAAAGAATCATAGTTTAAACACATATACAAACACACACACACACACACACACACACACACACACACATACGGTTAGGCTTTGTGTCCCCACCCAAATCTCATTTTGAATGGTAATCCCCATAATTCCCACGTGTCAAAGGAGAGGCCAGGTGGAGGTAATTGAATCATAAGGGCAGTTTTCCCTATGCTGTTCTTGTGATGGTGAGTGAGCTATCAGGAGATCTAATAATTTTATAAGAGGCTCTTCCTGCATCTCTCGGCACTTCTCCTTCATGTCACCATATAAACAAAGACATAATTGCTTCCCCTACTGCTATGATTGTAAGTTTCCCGAAGCCTCCCCAGCTATGCTGAACTGTGAGTTAATTAAACTTCTTTATTTTATAAATTACCCAGTCTAAGGCAGTTCTTTATCGCAGTGTAAATATAGACTCACACACACACATACATACACACAGAGAGAACTTTAAGAAAACACAATAGTGCAAAGAATAAGAACAAGAAGAAAAAATTATTGAATATACATGGCCATCCCTGCCTACACCCACACTGACATAAGACATAATGCTGAAACTTAGAGACTAGATGAAACTTATTAAACAGGGACTGCAGATGATGTTCCAGTATCCATACAATTAGCCAGAGAGAAAATACATTGTGAATTCAGCATTAATTGACACCATAGCTATTGTTTTTTCCAATTACAGCTCAACACCTCTCTAAATATAGCTCTCATTCTTTGCCTATTTTGTCTAGTTGAGTTATAAGTATTGATTCAATACCAATAAGTGGCCACATTCTAGAACTACTTTATTATCTATTTTTCTTCCCTAAAGTTTTATTTATTTATTTTTCTTCATAAAGAGCTACTTGCTTAGAGACAGAGGTAAGAAGAGAAATTGATAATAATAATGCCATAAAGCAGGCTTATGTTTATTTACCTAGTTATTACAATCTTTCCAAAGATTATTGCAAGGAGGTATATGTATTTGTTGCTGTGCATATTGCTTAATATTCTTTTATATTGCTTAATAATATCCTTTTGTTGTGCTTAATATCATATCATAGACAGCTTTAGAAATTCTAAAGATTAGTTACAATCTATACTCTTTCCTTTTTTGTTTCCTTTATCTCTAATTGCATTGCAAAAGTTCTATATAAAGGTTTTTATCATGTTATCTGTTATGTCTCTTGCAAATATTTTTGATCAATTTGTAACTTTTATATTTATTTTTATTTATTGGTATTTAAATTTTTTGTACAGAAAATTTGAATTTGTATATATCCACTAGCTCTTTTCTGATATATGCCTTTGGTATCATTTCTTCAGACATTCAATGTTAAATAAAGGTAATACAGGTAGTTTGCAAGTGAAACTGGATGTATATGAGTATTAAACATCAGAACTTAGAGCTTCTACCTACATGTAAACTCAGGGTGCAATTCTCAATTATTAACTTATTTTGCTTTGTCAATTGATCCTGAATTGACAGTGCTGAACTTCCAATTTGTCCTTTTTTTCTTCTCTCTTTCGTTCTTTTTTTCTCCAAATATTCATTGATGGCTTTCTACATAATAAATATTTAATATAACATCAGAAGATGTGTAAGACACATGCTGTAACCTTAATGCACATAAAAGATTAAGTTGGTATTACTTTATCCCTCTTCCTTTTGATGTCAAAGAGTAATGGCTCAGGATGGCAGTTTTAAGATTTGTGGTTCTGTTGAACATATCGTGTTCTTGGTAGCTATTTTGGAATAGATTGTAGGTGAGGTCAACTATTTTTCTTTTTTTATTAGTCTATCTCTGCCTCTGATGATGTATTTGAGTCTTGGCCAGGTTTATAACCTCTGTGTATCTACTTACAAACTTGGAAAATAAAGAATCTTGATTTATTCAGTCTTTATTTATTCACTACTGCCACTAAAATTTCTAATCCCGAAACTGCCATGAGGGATATAATATATTAACTGCTATCACATACTTTATGAGATTGAAATAGAAATATAATTGTATCACTTTTATGCTTCCAATTATCCATTTAGCCCTTCCCATATAATTTTATTAGCAGTCCTCAAGATCAAAAATTGTTCCCAAATACTAGAGCTTACTTTGACCATATGATACGGTTTAGCTGTGTCCCCACACAAATCTCACCTTGAATTGTAGTTCCCATAATCTCAACATCTGTTTGGAGGGATCTGATTGGAGGTAATTGAATCATGGAAGCAGTTACTCCCATGATGTTCTCAAGAATGTGAATGAGTTCTCATAAAATCCAATGGATTTATAAGGTGATTTCCCTCCTGTGCTTGGCACTTTTCTCTCCTGCTACCATGTGAAGAAGGATGTGTCTGCTTCCCTTTCAGCCATGACTGTAAGTTTCCTGAGGCCTCCCCAGCCATGCTGAACTATAAGTCACTTAAAAAAAAAAAAAAAAAATTTCCTTTATACACTACCTAGTCTTGGGTATGTCTTTAGTAGCAGCCTGAGAAAGGACTAATACAGTAAATTGGTACCTCAGAGAGTGGGATGCTACTATAAGGATACCCAAAAATGTGGAAATAACTTTGGAACTGGGTAACAGGCAGAGGTTGCAACAGTTTGGAAGGCTCAAAAAAAAGACAGGAAAATGTGGGAAAGTTTGGAACTTCCTAGAGACTTGGGGGGCTCAGAAGACAGGAAGATGTGGGAAAGTTTGAAACTTTCTAGAGACTTCTTGAATGGTTTGGACTAAAATGCTGATAGTGAGATGCACAATGAAGTGGTCTCAGATGGAGATGAGGAACTTGCTGGAAACTGGAGTAAAGGTGCCTCTTGTTATGCCTTGCAAAAGAGACTGGGTGGCATTTTGCCCCTGCCCTAGAGATCTGTAGAACTTTGAACTTGAGAGAGATGATTTAGGGTATCTGGTGGAATAAATTTCTAAGTGGCAAAGCATTCAAGAGGAAACAGAGCATAAAATTTCGGAAAATTGGATAGAAAAGAAAAACCCATTTTCTGAGGGGAAAATTCAAGCCCACTGCAGAAATTTGCATAAGTAATGAGGAGCTGAAGGTTAATCACCAAGAAAATGGGAAAAATGTCTCCAGGGTATCTCAGGGACCTTCGCAGCAGCCCCTCCCATCACAGGCCTAGAGGCTTAAGAGGAAAAAAATGACTTCCTGGGCTGGGCCCAGGGCCCACCTGATCTGTGCAATCTCGGGACATGGTGCCCTGTGTCCCAGCTGCTTCAACTCCAGCTGTGGCTACAAGGGGCCAAGGTACAGCTTGGGCCATTACTTAAGATGGTGCAAGCCCCAAGCCTTGGCAGCTTCCATGTTGTGTTAAGCCTGTGGGTGCAGAGAAGTCAAGAATTGAGATTTGGAAACCTCACCTAAATTGTATAGGATGTATGGAAATGTCTTGATGTACACGCAGAAATTTGCTTCAGGGAGACAGCCAACATGGAGAACCTCTCCTAGGGCAGTGTGGAAGGGAAATGTGAGGCCAGAGCCCCCCACACAGAGTTCCCACTGGGGCACTGCCTTGTGGAGCTTTGAGAAGAAGGGCACGATCTTCTAGACCCCAGAATGATACATCTGCTGACAGCTTGCACTGTGCACCTGGAAAAGCCACAGGCACTCACTATCAGCCCATGAAAGCAGCTAGGAGGAGTGCTGCACCCTGCAAAGCCACAGGGACAGAGCTTCCCAAGGCTGTGTGAGCCCACCCTTTGCATCAGCATGCCCTGCATGTGAGACATGAAGTCAAAGATAATTATTTTGGAACTTCAAGGCTTAATGACTGCCCTACTGGATTTCAGACTTGCATGGGGCCTGTAGGCCCTTTGTTTTGGCCAATTTCCCATTTGGAATGGGTGTATTTACCCAATGCCTGTATCCCCAATTGTATCTAGGAAGTAACTAACTTCCTTTCAATTTTACAGACTCATAGGTGAAAGGGATTTGCCTTGTCACAGACGAAACTTTGAACTTGGACTTTTGGGTTAGTGCTGGAAAGGGCTAAGATTTTGGGGGACTATTGGAAATGAATGATTGTGTTTTGAATTTTGAGGACATGAGATCTGGGAGGGGCCAAAGGTGGAATGATATGGTTTGGCTTTGTCCACACCCAAATCTCATCTTGAATTATAGTTCACATAATCCCCGTGTGTGGTGGGAGGGACCCGGTTGAAGGTAATTAAATCATGAAGGTGGGTACCCCATGCTTTTTTTGTGATAGTGAGTTCTTACAAGATCTGATGGTTTTCTGAGGTCTCCCCAGACACTCTGAACTGTAAGCCAACTAAGTGTCTTGTCTTCATAAATTACCCAGTCTTGGGCATGTCTTTATTAGCGGCGTGAGACCGGACTAATACACCATAAGTGCTAATTATATTTGTAATTTCTCAGTGGAGAGAGTAGTTTTATGTGTATATTTGATCCTGATTTCAAGTGGTTTCCTTTTCATTTTGCTGTTACGTATTGCTGTTGGAAGCTGGTCACTCAAAATCTCAGACTTGCCCACTGCTCTTGCTCCTCCTCATCCTTGCTTAGGCCACAGGTCTTGTTAGCTCTTGTTTGTTTATGCTTAGCATGTATTCCCAAACCCAAATTTAATGACAATATTACTACTGCAACCATATGCTGGCTGAAACTCATTCCTTTCTGTAAATCTCTGAGCCTTGGAATGATGTTTAAAATCAGTAGAGATGATTGTCTTTTTTGATATGCCTTGTTTGAAGGTTTTTTTTTCTTTTTCACGTTTTTGCTGATACTCACCATTTGAGACCATCTCAATTTATCAGAATTTGCAGCAATAGTGTTACTCCAAAAAGAAGAGATCATCGTAATTCCTGAGACAGCACCCTGGTTTTTACAAGAATTTGCTAACCTCAGTGAACAGCATGCATATTGTAGTTGATAACTTCACAAGACATTTTGTTACTACTTTTTCTCAGATAAACATTTTGTGACATCTAATAGGTTTAAATTTGCAATATTGAAGAGTTTTTTTTTTCACAAAACTATAAAAGAAAAATGTACAGGAAGCTTGTCCCCAAAACAAAGGAATATCTAGAAGCATTTTTTGGAGAAAAAAATTATTTCTGGGACTCCAGCTACATATGAAAGGTGAAATTATTTCATTTTTTTACATGACTGATACAGTTTGGCCGTGTCCCCACGCGAATCTCAAACTGTAGCTCCCATAATAACCATGTGTAGTAGGAAGTACCCAGTGAGAAGTAATTGAATCATGAGGGCGGATCTTTGCCATGCTGTTCTTGTGATAATGAATAAGTCTCACGAGATATGATGGTTTCATAAAGGGGAGTTCCCATGCACATGCTCTGTCTCTCACCTGCAGTCATTTAAGATGTAACTTTGCTCCTCCTTTGACTTCCACTATTATTGTGAGTCCTCCCCAGCCACGTGGAACTGTGAGTCTATTAAACCTCTTTTTCCTTATAAATTACCCAGTGTCAGGTATGTCTTTATTAGCAGTGTGAGGACAGACTAATACCGTGACCTCAAACACTCACATGCATGGTATGCGTCTGAAGATGCAGTGAGTTATTTTTATAAATTTATGGACATAAATTACACAGTCACTTTTTCATTTGTGTAAGCATTAGTCTCCACTAGTAAGATACAGTTTTGTAATTCACAAGTATAATTAAAATCTGAGATTAAATCTTCATTGGAATTAGTGCATTAAAAAAATTAAAAGACTGTATAAGATTGGAAGTTGATATATTACATTATTCCTGGGTGACTTAAAATTTATCCTCTATCATTATGTACTCCTATTTTTATAGTCTAAATTTATTTCTCCATGTCATTACTGCCTTTATCAACCTCAGTTACCATCAGGCTCACATCAGTTGAGCACTCCAGGCATAACTGTGTAATTACAATTTTATGTGAATTATTAAGATCTGGGTTCCCAGTCCAAATACATCTTTGTATATTTTACATTATCATTCCAGCATTGGAGTCTGCAAATGTCATTTCTTCTTTGTCAGCTGGCTACCTTTTAAGATCTGTAAGTAGAGTGCAGGGAGTGAGGTTGGAAGGCTGGAAGAGTGAAAGGAGACTTGCTCCTTCCTCTTGTCTTCTGTCCTCTCTGTTATTGCTCCACCAATAACCCTTCTCCCTGACTTCGATACATTCATATCTTGGAGATCTTGCAAGTTTGGTTCCAGACATGTCAATAAAATGAATATTGCAATAAAGCGAGTCACGCATTTTTTTTTTTTTTTGGTTTCCCAGGGCATATAAAGTTATGTTAACACTATATTGCAGTCTATCAAGTGTATACAATATTGCTTACGAAACAATATACATGCCTTCCTTAAAAATACTATATTGCTAAGAGATGCTAATGATCATCTGAGCCTTCAGGGAATCATAATCCTTTGGCTGGTGAATGGTCCTGCCTCTATATTAATGGTTATGGACTAATCAGACTGGTGGTTGCTGAACGTTTGGGTGGCTATGGCAATTTTTTACAATAAGAAACAGGCAAGAAAGTTTGCCTCATTAATTGACTCTCCTTTTTACAAAATATTTTTCTGTAACGTGGGGTGCTGAGAGCATTTTACTCACAGAACTTCCTTAAAATTTGGAGTCAATCCTCTCAAATTCTGTTACTGCATTATCAACTAAGTTTATGTAATATTCTAATTTTTTTTTGTTGTTATTTCAACAATGCTTGCAGCCTCTTCAACAGAAGTAGATTTCATCTCAAGATACCACTTTATTTACTTATCTGTAAGAAGTAAGTCCTTATCCATTCAAGTTTTATCATGAGATGGCAACAAATTCAGTCACATTTTCAGGCTGCATTTCTAATTCTAGTTTTCTTGCTATTTCCACCACAACCTCAATTAATTTCTCCATAAAGTCTTGAGCCCCTTAAAGTCATTTAAGAGGGTTGGAATCAACTTCTCCCCAACCTTTGTTAATGTTGATATTTTGACTTTCTCCCATGAATCATGAGTGTTCTCAATAGAATATAAAATGGTGATTTTTTTTCCAGAAGGTTTTCAATTGACTTTGCCCAAATGCATTAGAAGAATCAGTATCTATGGCTGCAATAATCTTATAAAGTGTATTCTTAAATAATAAGACTTGAAAGTCAAAATTACTTGTTTTCTTATGGACTGAAGAATGGATGTTTTGGTAGCAGACATGAAAACAAAATTAATCTCCTTGTACATCTCTATCAGAGTTATTGGTTAATTAGGTGCATTGTTCATGTGCAGTAATATTTTGAAAGAAATATTTTACTTTTTCTGAGTAGTAGGTCACAATAATGGGCTTAAACTATTCAGGAAACCATGCGATGAACAGATATGCTTTCATTCAGGATTTGTTTTTCCATTTATAGAACACAGGCAGAGTAGCTTTAGCGTAATTCTTTAGGACCCTAGGATTTTCAGAGTGATAAATGAGCATTAGCTTCAACTTAAAGTCAGATCTACATTTAGCATTTTACCCACAGAACTTCTTTCAAAATTGAAGTCAATTCTCTCAAATTCTTTTACTGCATTATTAAGTAGGTTTATGTAATATTCTAAAATTTTTGTTGTCATTTCAACAATGCTCACAGCATCTTCAGCAGAAGTAGGTTTCATCTCAGGAAACCACTTTCTTTTCCACTGTGGGTAAAGTTCATGTAGGAATTTTATGGCTGGAGGGAAGTCAATTGCTTGCTTCAAAGCTTCAAAGGACAGGCCGACTTTTTGTTAGGGGTTAATGTAGATCTGAATTTAGAGAAGTCCAATAGAGGGCTACTTCATCTGTAATGAAAATCTATTGTTTAATGTAGCCACTTTTGTTACTGGAAAGTGGTCCCAATCCAGACCCCAAGAGAGGGTTTTTGGATTTCATTCAAGAAAGTATTCAGGGCGAGTCCATAGAATAAAGTGAAAGCAAGTTCATTAAGAAAGTAAAGGAATAAAAGTATGGCTCCTGCATGGGCAGTGCAGCCAGAGGGCTGCTGGTTGCCCATTTTTATGCTTATTTGTTGATTATGTGCTAAACAAGGGGTGGGTTATTCATGAGCTTTCTAGGAAAGGGGTGGGCAATTTCTGGAACTGAAAATTCCTCCCCCTTTTTAGACCATAGAGGGAAACTTCCTGATGTTGCCATGGCATTTGTAAACCGTCATGGCACTGGTGTGAGTATAGCAGTGAGGAAGACTAGGGTCACTCTCATAGCAATCTTGGTGTGTTTTAGCTGACTTCTTTACTGCAACCTGTTTTATCAGCAAGGTTTTTATTACTTGTATCTTTTGCCAACCTCCTGTCTCATCCTGTGACTTAGACCCACTGACTGGGAGTAAAGCCCAGTAGGTCTCAGCCTTATTTTACCCAGGCCCTATTCAAGATAGAGTTGCTCTGGTTCAAACACCTCTGACAAATTTGTCAATGGTCTTAGCTAGATCCTCTAAATTGCTACAGCTTCTACATCAGCACTTGTTGCTTCAACTTGCACTTTTATGTTACAGAGACAGCTTCTTAAACATCCTGAACCACATTTTTTTCTGCAACTTTCTGCCTTTCTCAGCCTTCATAGAATTGAAGAGAGTAAGTTAGGATTTTGCTGTGGGTTATGCTTTTTCTTAAAGGAATGTTGTTGCTGGTTTGATATTCTTTCCAGACCACAAAAACCTTCTCTGTGTCAGCAATAAGGCTATTTCACTCTCTTAACCATTTGTGTGTTCACTTGAGTAGCATTTTTGGTTTTGTTGAAGACATTTGTTTTCTTTGCATTCACAATGGTACTGAAGCAGGAAATATAAGAAAGAAAAACAACTACAAGGAAAACAAGTCCTTCCCTGACCAGGCTGACTCACTCCAAAGTCCAGCTGGAGCTATGGTAACATTATCTGCAAGGCCTAGCAGGGGCCCCGAATAAATGGGCTCCAAGTGCAGGGACAAGAAAAACAAGTTCTTATCAGTTTCCCCCTGGAATTCTCTCCCCGTGCCATCATTCTTTGTTCTGCTCTCATAACTAGTTTGTAACTATTTCTGAAAGTTTGCAAGGATTTTGTAAGTTCCTGTTTTCCCATCTGTGCAGGATGATAAAGGTCACAAGACATGCCTGATTTGCAAGACCTGTCACAGTGTGATTAACTACCCATGTTCTTCTTCTGCAAGCGTGTTTTCCCGCCTCAGGTTTCACTCCACAAACCTGACCTGGCCCCTGTCAAACGCATGTATAAAAGTCAAGCCTTGTCTTTGTTCCTTTCTCAGCCTTTGGATGTTAATCTGCTGAGCCCTTGGCTACCTAAATAAAATCCTCCTGTCTCACCCAGTGGTCTCTCTGGTCTCCTGATTCTTGCAACAGTATAAGAGGTCTAGTTGTTGGCTTATCTCAGCTTTGGATGTGCCTTACTAGGCTTAATCATTTTTAGCTTTTTAATTTAAAATGAGAGATCTGTGAATCTTCCTTTCACTTGAACCTTTAGAGGACATTGTAGGGTTATTAATAAAAGAACTTTAATCTCATTCATTTCTAACAGTGAAAGCCAAACATTCCTAACCCTGTATTGCAGGAAATAGAAATGTAGTATGTTTATCCATAGATTATTTCTGAGACTCTTTTATAAAGCCTTCCATGGAAATAAATTGATCATGAAGAGAAGGGATTCTTATACAGCTTTTACTTATTCTGCTTAAGTTGGATATCTACATTTGTACTTTTGCCTCTTTTTCTTGGGAAGTGTTAAATAAATTATTTCAAGAATAACAATAGCTTATTTATTAATATTGTATCTACAAAACTAAAACTTGTCAGTTAACCACATTCTAAATTAACAAATTTTAAGATTTTATTATTTGGAATGACACAAAATAGAATAGTTTTAAAGTCTATGTTATCAATTAAAAAGTGTTCTTTTTTCACATTTTAATCCAGTAGTACAGTTATAATACATTTAAAAGGCTTCATTTAACCAGAAATATTCTAATGGGGCCCAGCACTTTCCTTATTATACTTAGGCTTCATGAAAACCACAGGTTGGATTAGAAAGAAATCAATAATTCCACTCAAGGGTTTTCTATTTTACAACAAGAAAAGATTATTGAGTGTGAATTGTAAAGTTCAACAATAATTACTTGGTAATTTTGAGGCAGTAAGCTCTACCTATTTAATAAACATATTGCTTAACTCACATTTTTTTACTATGAGAGACAATAAGGATAGAAATTTAAATAGCACCTCCTGCCACTGTAAAGCTTAAAATATAGTCAGAAAGCTAAATATAGAAAATAGAAAATATAGAATGGATTAAAGACGGCAATATTTTAATAGTGAAAATAACTGATATTGATAATTTAATATATGCCAAGCATATTTCTAAAACCATTGAATAAATTTTAATGAAATGATTTCCACAACCCCATGATGTGTGTTAATATTTCCTGTGGAATGATGACAACAAAAAATTTGACTCTTTAGTATTTTCATATTGTGGATTATGATATCAAGACACAAAGATACAGAATTCTCTCAAAGTCACACAGTAAGTGAGTAGCAGAGCTTGGTTTTCATACAAGGAGCCTAATTGTATGGTCTCCCTTTTAAATTTGATGAAGGCATAGAAAACAACTAATTTAGCTTGGGAGAGTCAGAGAATAATTCACTAAGGAAATGTGTCTATAAATGTATAAATAATAATTTGATAAAAGAAAAATCACACAAAGAAAACTCATCTAGAGACAGAAAGGATATATGCATAAAAACAAAGAACCAAGTATACCATTACATTCAGAGAGTAGTGAGACATTGAGAGAATAAATAAGGAGCAGCAGAAGATAAAGCAAAATAACTAAAATAGAAACGTATTATGGGAATTCTTATTGTATTATAATTTATTATAAAAATTTCCAAGGAAGGAATGCTGAGAGAGGTCGGAGGTTATGAAGGAGAAAATCTGAAAACCAATTGAGGAGGAAATTGTGAGGTCTGTGAGATGATACAGTGTAAAACAATGTGCAACAGTCCATTATAAGGAAGAGTGAGCCAAGACTAATGAAAATATCATTCCGAAAGTTTATGAGTCCTATAACCTCTAAGTTGAGACAGTTTCCAATAATGTGGAGCATCTTGTATGGATTTTGTTATGTTCAAATCAGAAAGTCTAAAATTAATGTGGCATATAGAAATATAATCTTTAGAAATTAATGAGAAAATAATTGACGAATGGAAATTTTTTTCTCCCATTTTTATACCAAAATGTGAAGTCAGATGGGAAAACATAGATTATGGTATACATTGTCAGTATAGATATTTTAAATGACATAATTATCATTTCCATTATGGCTCCTTTTATAGGCAATGTATTTTAAACATATAAGCAGATAATACAAGGATTCAAAAGATCATCAAGCTCAAATATTCAGTAACACACCTAGCTTTCTATACTTATACTTCCTATAATTCAAAATATAGGATTTGATGGCACTTATTATAAGGGGAATAGATATAAGCACAAATTACATGTTCATATCCCAAAAGTATTATATGTGCATATATTATATTTTATATGCACACATATAAGTTACATATATATAAACACACATATAGTTTACATACATATGTACACACAGATAAAAAACCTCAAGGTAACATTCAAACAAAAAAAAAGATAAAAAATGAATGACAAGGTAATAAAAGGAAACACTAGACAACCCAGGTTAATTGTTACTGCAAATAAATGAAAAAACTAATTTTAGGTATTCTTGGTTGCCAAAGCATAAAAATAATTCTTATTTAACATAAGCAAATTCATAAATTAATTAAGATATGTTTATTTGAGAATGATTAATTGAATGAATCTATAAAATGCAACTTTGAAATACTTATTCTACTTCTGTGCAGGTAATACAATAGAATTTTTATTTTGATTCGTTGAATTTTTTGTCAAGTATTCAGGAAAATTTCAAAAACAATAATTTTATGAGGATGAAGCAAAAATTATTCTTATTATTATTTTAAATATTACCCTTAATAAGCTTATGAGAATAACCAATTGTCGTTTTAGGAATGCAAGGGGAACTGGCACGTTATATTCCAGGCATGTAAATATCTGAGATAATAAGATGATAATATAATATATCAAACTCTAGAGATAGTAAGGCAAAGCATGCCACATAGAATTTCAATATACATTGTTTCAGTTGAGCTTTGAGGTGTTAGTAGGTAATATAGGATTCCAAACAGATAATTAACTAACATGGCATTGATTGAATGTAAAAGTTTATGTTTTACACAATAGGTACATAGGTGACCAAGTTACCATTTTTTCTGTAAAAGTAAAGTTTTCAGTGCTATTCAAAATAAAAAAAATATATTGTGCTTACATATGATAAAGTGTAAAATCTTAAAAAGTTAATATTGAAGAAATAAAATACTCCCAACATATATATCATGTCTATACACTTAAAAGTTCCAAAAACAAACAATTAAACTTCATTATATAGAATAGAAACATGATTCTTTTTATTTTTATTTTTAATTCAATTTTTTTTTTTTTTGAGACAGTCTCACTCTGTCGCCCAGGCTGGAGTGCAGTGGCGTGATCTTGGCTCACTGCAAGCTCCGCCTCCCAGGTTCACACCATTCTCCTGCCTCAGCCTCCCGAGTAGCTGGGACTACAGGTGCCCACCACCATGCCTGGCTAAATTTTTCTTGTTCTTTGTATTCTTAGTAGAGACATGGTTTCACTGTGTTAGCCAGGATGTTCTCCATCTCCTGACCTCGTGATCCACCCGCCTTGACCTCCCAAAGTGCTGGGATTACAGGCATGAGCCACCTCACCCAGCCACGTGATTCTTAATTAAGAACAAAATAATACTATTTATACAGCCTTAAGGTGCCGAGAGGAGGTTGTCATTTGCAAGAGCATCTGGAGTCCTCTGGGATGTTGGGAATGTGCTATTTCTGGATAGGAGTGATAGATAATATCAGAGTTCACTTGGCAGTTACTTTAAATGAATTTTACATTTTCTTTGTGTATATTTCACACAATTTAATAAGGAAAAATAAAGGTTTAATTATATTATCTGCATAAAAGTAGAACATTTAAGTATTTCAATGCAAAACCAAGGCTTTTCTATATAAATCTTTTATGATCTTAAAGAGTTTTGGAACATATACTCAACAGCAACTTCAAACATCCACTTCAAAAAGTATAGAGGAGACCACATTGACCAAGAAAACTTCAGTAGCATTTGATGCCAATTTTGGGGTAAAACTGCTAAAAATAAGTGTAATGTGATGTTAATGTTAACATATTATTTTTTGTGTAAAAGTTGATATCTAATATATTTATTTCTTCATGAAATGCATTGTTAAATGTCAAATTAAATGTTTTAGAGTGTCAGCAAAGGCAGTGACATATTTTGGCAAGGCTATTATTAAGTTCTTGTACTGGAAAAAAAAAAAAAAGATGTTCCTGAAGCCAGTTGCAGAATACAACACTAAGACAAACTAGACCAGAGGATTTCTTTTCTTATCTTTCCTTTTTATAAAAGAGTGTGGGTAAATGACTATTTTTTCTAAATTCTGATAATTTGTCCTTGTGCATAGGCCTATATACTTTTTGTCATTTAACAGTAAAAATTATTATCTTGAGAATCCATGTGACCCATCTAATTTGTTGACGTGTTGTTGAAGAAAATGTCTCTGAATGAGCAATTGAATCTTTAGATTTACATACCCTCACAAAGTATTCTGGCCCATAAATTGTTACAATCTATGAAATTATAATTTTAAAAAAATCAGTGAATGCCATAAATAATTTAAAGTTGTTCTTAATAGCCTTCTAATGTCTGAAAGAGCACAAACAATCTAAGGTCACACCTCAAAGAACTACAGAAACAAGAACAAACAAACCCAAACCCAGCAGAAGAAAGGAAATAACCAAGATCTGAGCAGAACTAAATGAAATGGAAACAAATAAAACAATACAAAAGATAAATAAAACCAAAAGCTGCTTCTTTGAAAAGATGAATAAAATTGATGGACTGTTGTAGGCCGCACAAATGTTTTTTGTGATTAGGTACATCTGAAGCCAGTTAGTAATAATATGAACCTGTGATCAATTAAGCAGCTGACTAATCATTACCTCCTCCTCCTTGCTCTTGTTACCCAATAAATAAGAAGGGCTGCAGGAGCTCAAGGGGGGTTGTCTTTGCTCTCTAGAAGCAGGGAGTGCTCTTCTTCTCCCCGTGTTGCCTTTCCTTAGAACAGTTTCTTTTGCTTTAAGTTTTCATTTCTACGTTCCTCCCTTCGTTCAGTCTTGTAACGATGATCTCAAGTGGTAACAGTAGTAACTGCTGTAATGATGGTCTCAAGCAGTAACAGTAATAACTGCTGTAGTGATGGTCTCAAGTAGTAATAGTGGCAGCCAGCTACAATAGACCATCAGGAAGATTAACCCAAGAATAGAAGAGAGAAAATCCAAATAACCTCACTAAGAAACGAAACAGGAGATATTACAACTGACACCACTGAAATACAAAAGATTACTCAAGGCTACTATGAACACCTTTATGCACATAAACTAGAAGACCTAAAAGAGATGAATACAATCCTGGAAAAATGCAACCCTCCTAGCTTAAATCAGGGAGAATTGATACCCTGAACAGACCAATAATAAGCAGCGCGATTGAAATGGTAATTTAAAAATTACCTACAAAAGAAGTCCAGGACCAGATGGATTCACAGCAGAATTCTACCAGACATTCAAAGAAGAACTGGTACCAATCCTTTTGACCCTACTCCACAAGATACAGAAAGAAGGAACCCTCCCTAACTCATTAACTCAGACTCACCCTAATACCCAAAGCAAGAAAGGACATAACCAAAAAAGAAAACTACAGACTGATATCTTTCATGAACATAGATTCTAAAATCCTTAACAAAATACTAGGTAACAAAATCCAACAAAATATCAAAAGGATAATCCACCATGATCAAGTGGGTTTCATACCACGGATGCAGGGATGGATGGTTTAATATATGTAAGTCAATAAATGTGATACACCACATAAACAGAATTTACAACAATAATCACGTGATCATCTCAATAGATGTAGAAAAAGCATTTGACAAAATCCAGCATCGCTTTACTATCAAAATTCTCAGCAAAATCAGCATACAAAGGACATACCCTACTGTAATAAAAGCCATCTGTGACAAACCCACAGCCAACATAATACTGAATGGGGAAAAATTGAAAGCATTCCCTCTGGGAACTGCATCAAGACAAGGATGCCCACTCTCACCACTCCTCTTCAACACAGTACTGGAAATCCCAGCCAGAGCCATCAGACAAGAGAAAGAAATAAAGGGCATCCGCATCAGTACAGGGGAAGTCAAGCTATCACTGTTTGCTGATGGTATGATCATTTACGTTGAAAACCCCAAGAATTCCTCCAGAAAGCTCCTAGAACTGATAAAAGAATTCAGCAAAATTTCTGGATACGAGATTAATGTACACAAAACAGTAGCTCTTCTATGCACTAACAGTGACCAAGCAGAGAATCAAATCAAGAAGTCAACCCATTTTACAATAGCTGCAAATATATATATATATATATATACATATTACATATATACATATATATATACATATATACTTAAGAATATATTTAACCAAGGAGTTGAAAGACCTCTACGAGGAAAACTGCAAAATACTGCTGAAAGAAATGGTAGATGACACAAACAAATGGAAACACATCCCATGCTCATGGATGGGTAGAACTAATATTGTGACAATTACCATACTGCCAAGAGCAATCTACAAATTCAACACAATCCCCATCAAAATACCACCATCATTCTTCACAGAATTAGAAAAAAACAATTCTGAAATCCATATGGAACCAAAAAATAGCCCACATAGCCAAAGCAAGACTAAGCAAAAAAGAACAAAAGAAGGTATCACAATACCTGATTTCAAAGTATACCGTAAGGCCATAGTCACCAAAACAGTACTGATATAGTAGTAGGCACATAGACCAAAGGAACAGAATAGAGAACCCAGGAATAAACCCAAATGTTTACAGCTAACTGATCTTTGACAAAGCAAAAAAAAAAAAGGACACCCTTTCAACAGATGCTGTGCTGGGATAATTGGCTAGCCACATGTAGGAGAATTAAACTGGATCCTCATCTCTCACCTTATACAAAAATCAACTCAAGATGGATTAAAGACTTAAATCTAAGATCAGAAACTAAAATTTTTAGAAGATAACATAGGGGAAAAAATACCCTTCTAGACATTGGCTTAGGCAAGGATTTCATGACCAAGAACCCAAAAGCAAATGAAATAAAAACAAAGATAAATAGCTGGGACCTAACAAAACTAAAGAGTTTTGCATGGCAAAAGGAACAGCCAGGAGAGTAAACAGACAACCCACAGAGTGGGAGAAAATCTTCACAATCTATACATCTGACAATGAACTAATATCCAGAATATACAATGAACTCAAACAAATCAGTAAGAAAAAAATCAAACAATCCTATGAAAAAGTGGGCTAAGGACATGAATATACAATTCTCAGAAGATATGCAAATGGCCAATAAACATATGAAAAAATACTCAGCATTACTAATGATCATGAAAATGCACATCCAAAGTACAATATGTTATCACCTTACTCCTGCAAGAATGGCTGTAACAAAAAAAAAAAAAATAGAAAAACAGATGTTGGTGTGGATGCGGTGAACAGGGAACACTTCTACACTGCTGGTGGGAATGTAAACTAGTAGAGTCACTATGGAAAACAGTGTGGAGATTCCTTAAAGAACAAAAAGTAGAACTGCTATTTGATCCAGCAATCTCATTACTGGGTATCTCCCCAGAGGAAAATAAGTCATTATTTGAAAAAGACACTTGCACACGCATGTTTATAGCAGCACAATTCACAATTGCAAAATCGTGGAACTAACCCAAATGCCCATCAATCAACGAGTGGATAAAGAAACGGTGGTATATATATATGATGGAAGACTACGCAGTTATAAAAAGGAATGAATTAACAGCGTTTGCAGTGACCTAAATGACGTTGCAGACTATTATTCCAAGTCAAGTAACTCAGGAATGGAAAACCAAACAGTGTTATGTTCTCACAGATATGGATGAGGTAAAGTATGAGGTCACAGAGGCGTAAGAATGATACAATGGACTCTGGGGACTTGGGGGGAAGAGTGGGAGGAGCGAGGGATAAAAGATTACAAACATGATGCAGTGTATACTGCTTGGTGATGGGTGCAAAATATCACAAATCACCAGTAAAGAACTTACTCAGGTAAACAAATACCATCTGTACCCCAAAAACTTATGAAAAAATAAAATTAAAAAAAATTAGGTGAAATTCATCATAGCAATAATCAATTAAAAAGAGTTGTGGTCAGGTGCGGTGGCTCACGCCTGTAATTCCAGCACTTTGGGAGGCTGAGGCAGGCAGATCACAAGGTCAGGAGTTCGAGACCAGCCTGGCCAATGTGGTCAAACCTCATCTCTACTAAAAATAAAAAAATTAGTGGAGCATGGTGATGGGCACCTGTAGTCCCAGCTTCTTGGGAGGCTGAGGCAAGAGAAGTGCTTGAACCCGGGAGGCAGAGGTTTCAGTGAGCTGAGATCGTGCCACTGCATTCCAGCCTGGGTGAAAGAGCGAGACTCTGTCTGAGAAAATAAAAAACACAAACAAACAAAGAAGAGTTGCAACTAAAACTGCCTATGTCTCAGTGAGTTATTGGAGACTCAGTCATGCAGTTTATAAAGGAGAATCAGTGTAGTGACTTGAATGGATACAGATTATTTACAGCTCTTCATTGTGTGTGTGTGTGTCTGTGTGTGTACATTCACAAACATTCACATACTTTATTTCAGGGCTTTAGAAAAATATGAAAAATTTCATATTACTCAACCCCTAAAATTTTGCCACAACTATAACATTTATTTCAAGTAAAAAAAAATTTTATTGAATTGGTTTCATTTCCTTAGTGACATTTGAATGGTATTTATGTCAAGTGCATTGGGGAAATAAAAAGATTGTCATTTATTATTCCTTAATTTAGGTCTAATTTATTGTTTGACAATGTTGAAATGCTGATTTTTTTTTAGAAAACTCATTTTTAATATTTTAAAATCTTGTTTCTATTCTTATAGGAAAAATAAATTATAGGAATTTCATAATTATTAACAAGTCATTATATTAATTACCTGACTTTTGAATTCACTTAGATGTATTGTGGCTATATGCTTCAAATTTTTTATAGTTGCACATTGTTTATTAAAAGCATTATATCGTTCTCACTCAAAAGTGGGAGTTGAACAATGAGAACATATGGGCACAGGGAGGGGAACATCACACACCAGGGCCTGTCGGGTGGTGGGGGGCTAGGGGAGGGATAGCATTAGGAGAAATACCTAATGTAGATGACGGGTTGATGGGTGCAGTAAACCACCATGGCACATGTATACCTTTGTAACAAACCTGCACGTTCACGTTCTACCAAGTATTCCAGAACATATATATATATATATATATATAAAGATTTTTGAGGGAGCAGGAGTAGCTCTGTTACCGCCAGAGTTGACATTAAATCTGTTTGTGCGTTACATTTCAGTCTAAGTGGCATGAATCATGGAATGATGGAGAAAGTTACTCATTGAAAGTTGCTTTAGTGATCTTGCAGCTGCCTTGGAACATGATTGTGGGTTGCAGTTTCTTTAAAGAAGTAGTCATGCTTGTATTTTCATGCAGAGAGGAATGGCATGGCTGTAACAAATAAAAAACTAAACTGTAGAAACCACAACAAAAAACATTACATAGATGTTTCTGGTAACTTTTATTCAGCATTAAAATATGTATACTTTCATCCATTTAATTTATTAAAATGTCAAAATATTTTTATATACATTACATCTAATGTAATTTATATATACACATATACACAACTGTTAGAATGCCTGGGAAAGAAGTTTCAGGATACCCAGAGTCCAAGCATTGGCAGAAAGCTTACACTGTGCTGGAGAGCTTCTCAGCTCTCTACAACAGAAAAGCAAGTAATTTACAAGGACTCTTTCTGATCTTAGCCTTAGCTTCATGCTGAGAATTGTGACTTCTTCGCTTTTCACTTTCCAATTGTGCGCAAGTTTCTGATTTGCAGCATCTGACCAGAAAGTATAAAACAAAAGGACTTTCTGGAAAATACAGTAACAGGTTTTTTCCTGCAACAAGGAGAAAAAAAATACTTAAGGGCATTAAATAGAAGATAAAAAAATAGATGGCCCTTTAAATATTAAAAATTTAGAATAATTATTATTTCCTGGAGGTATATTTTTAATTACATCTTAAAGGTGATTAATTTGATTTACTGCCTTATTCAAACTTATAATGAAATCTTATTCTTAATACATAACAGAGATGCCTGGTTTATTGCCACACTTTAAAAGACAATGAACAAGTTATGTGAGATAGACACACAATTATTTTAAAGTTAAATATAAATCATTGCCATATTGTTGTTAGAAGAATATTGTACTAGAATTGGATTTTATTATAATATGGAATGGGTGAATGTGTCTTGTTCATTTTCTTGTCAAAGCCAAATACAGTATGTTTTGCCAGTTTGTTTTGTCAAAACAAAAGAAAAAATATTTTAGTTTTGTTGAAGTAAATATTCCTTTATGATTCTGGATAAATCTGATTTTATGACAGTGAACTAAGAGTACACTGCAGTCTTTCCATTTCATGTCACATCTTAGAAATAAATAAAAGTTTTAAAAATAAAGAAATAGATACATTAGTAATCAAAGAGGAGAAATCTTGAAGAGCCAGAAATTGTGAGTAATCATTGAAGAACTGAAAACTGTTGAAATACATAAGCCAAGATAAAAACTTAGGTTTACATCTATGGAATGTAGGATCCACACCAAGGGGGTTCTGGGTGTGGAGATGATGAAACAAGGATTAAGGATGGGGGCAGAAAGAGCCCAAATGTTACTTGGGTTGGTCACTGTAGTGAGAGACATTAGTTAGTGAAGAGAAAGGAGATCTGTTCATTAGGCAGAAACAGTGTTTAGGAGCTTGGATGAAAGGCAGAACAAACTTTCTGATGACTGGTAACATGAGCTTTTTCATGACACTGAGCATATGGGGTTTCTGCTTCTTAGCAAGGTTTAGTCCATTCTCATGCTGCAAATAAAGACAAACTGAGACTGGGTAATATCTAAAGGTAAGAGGTTTAATTGACTCACAGTTCAGCATGGCTGGAGAGGCCTCAGGGAACTTACAATCATGGTAGAAGGGGAAACAAGCAAGTTCTTCTTTGCGTGGTGGCATCAAGGAGAAGTGCTGATCAAAAGAGAGAAAAAGCCCATCAGATCTCATGAGAACTTAACTCTCAAGAGAACAGCATGGGGGTAATGTTCCCCATGATTAAATTACCACCTACCAGGTCCCTCCCACAACACCTGGAGATTATGGTAACTACAATTCAAGATGAGATTTGCATGGGGACACAGCCAAACCACATCACAGGGTAAATAAAATTCTGGACTTATGGACAAGGATGTTAGCTTTCTTTCCTGGAATTGTCAATGAACTTTATATATAAAGATAGTCTAGCAATCAATCTTAACAGGTCAAAACAAAAGGCTGATGGGACAGAGAGACATTTTTCAAAACCCGCAAATAAGTATGTCACTCTTTGGGGCAGTGTTAAAGGATTCCAAATTTTTGTCTTCTCAACATGGAAACAAACATCAAAATTGTGGAGAAACATTTCCCCCAATCAACATAGACTAGATGTTTAAAAATTGCAACATCAATTGTACAGAGGTCCGAGAAGGAACACTATTGGGAAGTGATGAAAACTAATATTTGAATAAGAAAAAGCCAAGTATGTCCCAGGCTTAGAAGACAGAGAATAGTAAAACCACATGCAAATATATACATCAGTATATGTATATACATTTTACACACACACACACAGCATATACATACATGTACACCACATGAGAGTTTAATTTCAAATCAAGCAAATAAAACAAAATCCTAAGAGTTACCAGGGAAATGCATTGAGGATTTGTGGGAGAAATAGGTGAAAGATTGCCTACATATGACAACAAACTTTTCTTATCAATTTTTATTTTTTAATGTTTAATTTTTATGGGTACATAGTAGGTGTATATATTTATGGGGGTATATGAAATATTTTGATTGAGGCATACAATGTGTAATGATCACATCAGGGTAAATGGGGTATTCATCACCTGTAGCATTTATCATTTCTTTGTGGCTTTATCAATTATTGGCACAAAAGGAGAATAGAATAGTCTTTAAAGTGCTGAAGGGGAGGTACATTTGAACATAGACTCCTTAAATTATAAATAAAACAAAACAAAAACATCATTGTAATATGAGGCAAAATGATGACCTTTTTTACGAATTTGGAAAATATAAAAGCTTATGACCTGCAACCCTTTTTTGAAAGCATTATTAGAGACTATCCCCTAGCAAGAAAAAGAAAATATCCCCACACTGAAAAAGTTATTGACCATCTTTCCAAATATGCAGTAGGAATGGCGAACTCCTTCAATGTTCATCTGTAGTCTCCCTAAATGGCTCCCAGAATCTTGAATCGGAGGTGTTCGGAGCATAATTCTTTGGTCTCTGTTTTTCTAGAAGTATAGGTTGCCTTTAAATTTAAATTGAATTTTCAGCCAAGCTGTCAATATTACATATTTTCTTGTAAACAGGATTATACTGATTTTGCATCACGGTATTTAAAGCATTTTGTCAGTGCTTTGTATTATAATAATGTGCAAGAAAATATAATAATATAAATTCTAAGTAAGATTTTTCTTAATATCTGAAAAAGGAGGCCATCAGTGGATAGCAAGGAAAATGCAATGGTATATAAATATTATTTTTTTAATCTTTAACTTGTCATTAAAATATTTACATGACCATTCATATTTTATAAATATTGCATTAAGGACTAATATCACACAATGTTTAGGACATTATTTTAGTGTTTGGCATATCTGAGTTTTACTTAGCTTTTATGATTTCCTGGAGTTTTACCTGAGGTAAGTGCTTCAACCTTATTGAGTATAAATTTTTTCTCTTCAGAGATGCCTTTCATAAATATTCATTCAAATATATATCCCCAATATCCCAGCTTATAACTATGATTTTATTCTGCTTAATTTTTCTTATTAGTAGTTATCACTACTGGAGGTGTTAGCATATATTTGTTACTTTATTTATTATGAGTCTCTACAACTGCAATGTAAGTTCCATGGAACACATACAGAATATCTCTAGCCCACAACAAATCACAATGTCTGAAGAATAGAAATCACTCACTAAATATTTAGTAAAAGAATTAATAAATTCATTAGTGAGTAAGTGTCCTGGAAAGAAGTTTTGATAAACCAGTTTATTTATTTTCTTAATTAGAATATACATCACAAAAAGCACACAACGATTGATAATTTATTTGTGAACTAGAACAAAATGCATCCAGACAGAAATATCACATTACATTTGAATAGTATTATTGCCTGTTTTAATAAGTATGAACACCTCTCACAGGATCAGGAGTAGAAAATCATTATAGTATGTTCTTCGCTTTGTAGAAATTGATACTCAGAAATTTAAGATAGCTCTGTGAGTATATGTGTGTGTTTCCTTGTATGTGTATATATATACAGTTATTGATATTGATATATAGATAGGAAGAGTTGAAACCAGAAGTGAGTACCAGGACTCTTAAATCCTAGCACACATTTCTTCTTCTTTAAGTTGTCTTTTAAATACAAATTTTGTTTTCTTTCAACATTGTTTAATTTGTGTAAATAGAAACATACGAGCTTTGCCAGGTGAAAGCTGAAGCCATAGTAGGAGGGGCATTATCTTAATAGCACCACTGGTCTGACTGATAGAGACCAATAGTGGGTAGATTCATTTGAGCAATTGTTTATGCCATTCTCACAGTCCATCTGGGTACTAATGGGAATGGTGATGCCAGTGCCAGGCTAATGACAATCAGAGTTCTGCAAGTAATAACACTTTGGACTAATCTTTTGGGCAGAGTTATTTTCAGGGTATGCAAATGGAAAGTCCTTTATTAGTATTCTCAAGTTCTTCCTTTCTCGGTAACCCTTCAGCATCATTGTTCCCTTTTGAATATTCACATGCATGTCTTAAGTTATTTTTTCCCCAGAAACAACTCTGTGAAGTAAATTACATTCAGGGTTCTTAGTCACAGAAGGATTTTATTTTTTTCTGTGATCGAGGGGATGATACCAACAGGGCAAACACTGAAAAGCAACTGCTTTCAAACAGCATGCCATAGAACATAGGGTGAATACATTTGATAATGAAAGATTTAGTAATTTACAAATCGTTTGGTAAATTGACAATCTCTAGGAAGCTTTCTGTTATTACCACTCTTCACTGCATCTGTTTGTTTCGTTATCTTAGCAATTAACCTTATAGCTTACATATAAAGGAAAAAAACTAAGCTGCAAGTTTCTCATGCTTTTATGATTCTGCGAGAAAGATTTTGAAATATTTGACTGCTATGCAAACACAATAAAGTTTTATCCTGGCTATGCTTCCAAAGGTTCATCCCAAAAACCTATAAATTATAACAAAAATGATAATTTTATTAGGATAAATGAAGGTTCATTCCAAAAACCTATAAAGTATAACAAAATGATAATTTTATTAGCATAAATGAAGGCTCCTTCCAAAAACCTATAAAGTAAAATAAAAATGATAATTTTATTAGGATAAATATATGCCTAGTGTTCAGTCCCAAGTTAAATAGACACACACACACACACACACACACACACACACAAAAGTAGAAGCCATTTGCTTGGAAAGTTTATAAGCAGTGATATGGACTATAGTCAATTAAGTATATTGAATATACCCTCATGATTATAATTCTTTTATATTGAGTGAATTGCTTAAATTTATAATTTACATTTCAAAGATCAAATTATTTTAAACTGGAATGAATAGAATATCATATCGTTATCTATCAGCTGTAGCATAACATTACACTTTTGCAGTAAGCTAAGAAACTTTTTTCAAGTCATGAAAGAAACATTTAACAAACAGCATTTACTGAAAGAAACAAAGTAACCTATTTTAGAAGCACACTTATTTATGTATGATATTATTTATAAATTATTTTCAAAAGGCGTGGCATCTCTTTGCAATTTCAGTCATTGCATATATAATCATGTGAATATTTAATATGAGAAACATTCCAGAGAAAGCAACGTGTTTATTAATGCCATCTCTCATCCAAAATAAACTCTTCTATAACTTCACTGTAAGATGTGTCTAAGCCCTCTTTGAGGTTTTTCTGGTATTAGCAATTGTTTTTTATCTGCCGCCCATCAGATGCATTTTATTTTACTATTTTTGTTTTTCTTTAAGTATATCTATTTCAAGCTTACTTAATGTATCCTAATATCAAGAAGTACTTTGTAGTAAATTTTGTTCTTAAAGTGATGCTTTGTAAAGTGAAAAGCTATATTCTGATTTTTGTGCAGTTTAATTTTCTTGTATTGGTTATTTGTAGATTGTTCTTCAGGACATAATAGTTTACTGTTACACTTTGAAAGAGATTTGAAAGCATATTTTAAACTTGGTTGCTTGTCTATATAAAAATGATGATATTCCTTCTCATTCACATCTGTCAGTAAAGATCACAAATATTCCCTCTGTCCTATAACTTTCTTCTATGAAAATAAGTTCTATAAAAGTCTTCATTTTCTATATTTGAGGGAAACTAATATAATTGTGGAAGTTCCCTTTTAGAATTTTTTCTTACAATTAAAAAAATAGATGTCAAGCAATGGTGAATATACTGTGTAAAAAGCATAATGTTTTAAGTTATGGTATTGCCATAAAGGACTTATAACACTAATTTGTCTGAAATATAATCAAGGGAATTAGAAAGCAATATTGTCATTTTGAGATATGGAGATATTTCAGAAAATTACATAAATAACATAACTTCACAACTCCACTGACATGACTAAGTAAATTCTTGCTGTGCCTCTATGAATTAAAAAAAGTTAGTTTTACACAAAGGTAAATATATATAAACCTTGCTCTGCTTTGAACCTCTGATTCGTTTTGTTTTAAAATTTAATGTTTTATGCTAGGTGGGTGAATCAGCAACTTTCTGCCTATTCCTGACCAATAATGAGTTTCATATTGAACATTGCTAAACTTATAAAAGATTCAAACATTAAGCCATAACTAAAGGACACATGAATTGTACTATGTATAATTCTGAATGTAAATCAAAATAAGTATATATATATGTATATATTATAGGTATGCCAAGTATTATAATTAATGCTGATATTAACCACCATAATTAGGTTATCAAGCACCAATCTCATTGTATTCTTTATAGTCCATGTGTTGTGCCCCTATATTACATAAGTGCCCAGTAAATATATGCTGATGGGTGGGCAGGTAAAGCAAATATAAGTAAATGAAAATCTAAAGAAAACACTAAAGAGTCTGAATATTTTGTATTCACTTTTATTGGATTAAAAAGCTACCATTTCTTGTCCAGGCATGGTGGCTCATGCCTGTAATGCCAGCACTTTGTAAGTTTGAGGCAGGCAGATCACTTGAGGCCAGTTCAAGACCAGTCTGGCCAACATGGTGAAAACCCCGTCAATACTGAAAATAAAGAAATTTGCTGAGTGTGGTGCCACCTGCCTATAATCCTAGCTACTCAGGAGTCTGAGGCAGGAGAATCACTTGAACCGGGGAGGTGGGGATGGCAGTGAGCAGAGATCACGCCACTGCACTCCAGCCTGGGTGTCAGAATGAGACTCCATCTCAAAAAAAAAAAAAAAAAAAAAAAGCTACCATTTCTCTAGTAGAATAACTTTCTATAAAAATATGACTGTTTAATATTTCCAATAATTTGGAGCATTTATAATCTTAATTTTCTAGGTGTCTTTTCACTGAGAAATATTCTCAGTCTACAATGATCTTCCTCAAAATCATCCACATTAAGGAAATTGGTATCAGACAGGAGTATTAAGCTTTATTCTGTCATAAGGAATGTGCCAATTAACATTAATAATCATCTCATGCAAATTGTAGAGAAAGGAATCACCAGCAGCAAACATATCTTAGTTTTCTTAGTTTTCATACTTGATTTTTTAAAATTCACAAATTTGTTACAGTATTTAAGAAAGTTTGAATCTTTCCTCAAGTAGATTACATGTAGAATCTGAAATGAATGTTGGAACCATGCTGTGGAAAATAGGTTGAAAAACAAACAGAAATGAATGACCATGAAAGAGGCATAAACCTGTAATCTTACATTGCAAGGGGAACCTAGTTTCGCAAATAAATTACATACAGTCAATAGCACTGCTTGCTGTAGACTAGTTTCCTTATGTTCTTTTGGGAATTGTTTTTCAATCTCTTCTTAATGGAAAAGTATGTTGATAATCCTTACATCCACAGGTCTCGTCAGAGTGCCTCTAAGAAGAAACATGACATATTTGCTGTAGGCAAGGGGTTGACTGCATCAGAAAAGTTCAAAGTATTTACTCCTTTTCATTTTTTCTTATGTAATGCTATTTGGCTTGACTTATTTCTATAATAAATTATTTTTTGTGTTTTTGTTGACATTTTTAGTTGATTCCTGTTTCTTTAGTAAACTCATTTGTAGGTTCTCAGAGAAATCTTTGAAGCTCTATATGGTTCAAAAGCAATATTTAGTTTACTATAATTTAGTTAAGATTATATTTAAAATATTTTAAATTGAGGCTTTTAAATAAAACCTGACAGGAGAAATGTTTTATTTAAACATGAAAAATTTCAGAGCATTAAATATTTGATAAACATATTTCATTTTTTTAATTATACTTTAAGTTCTGGGATACATGTGCAGAACATGCAGGTTTGTTACAGAGGTATACACATGCCATGGTGGTTTGCTGCACCCATCAACCCATCATCTACATTAGGCATTTCTCCTAATGCTATCCCTCTCCTATCCCCCACCCCCTAACAGGCTCCGGTATATGATGTTCTCCTCCCTGTGTCCATGTGTTCTCCTTGTTCAATTCCCACTTATAAGTGAGAACATCTGGTGTTTGGTTTTCTGTTCCTGTGTTACTTTGCTGAGAATGATGGTTTCCAGCTTCATCCATGTACCTGAAAAGGACAGGAACTCATCCTTTTTATGGCTGCATAGCATTCCATGGTGTATATGTGCCACATTTTCTTTATCCAGTCTATCATTGATGGTCATTTGGGTTAGTTCCAAGTCTTTCCTATTATGAATAGTGCTCCAGTAAACATACGTTTGCATATGTCTTTATAGTAGAATGATTTACAATCCTTTGGGTATATGCCCAGTAATGGGATTGCTGGGTCAAATGGTATTTCTGGCTCTAGATCCTTGAGGAATTGCCACACTATCTTCCACAGTGGTTGAACTAATTTACACTCCCACCAACAGTGTAAAAACGTTCCTATTTCTCCACATCCTCTCCAGCATCTGCTGTTTCCTGAATTTTTAATGATCGCCATTCTAACTGGTGTGAGATGGTATCTCACTGTGGTTTTGATTTGCGTTTCTCTAATGACCAGTGATGATGAGCTGTTTTTCATATGTTTGTTGACCACATAAAAGTCTTCTTCTGAGAAGTGTCTATTCATGTTCTTACACCCACTTTTTGATTGGGTTGTTTGTTTCTTGTAAATTTGTTTAAGTTGCTTGTAGATTCTGGATATTAGCCCTTTGTCAGATGGATAGATTGCAAAAATTTTCTCCCATTCTGTAGGTTGCCTGTTCACTCTGATGATAGTTTCTTTTGCTGTGCAGAAGCTCTTTAGTTTAATTAGATCCCATTTGTCAATTTTGGCTTTTGTTGCCATGCTTTTGGTGTTTTAGTCATAAAGTCTTTGAGATGCCTATGTCCTGAATGGCATGCCGAGGTTTTCTTCAAGGGTTTTTATGGTTTTAGGTCTTACTTTTAAGTCTTTAATCCATCTTGAGTTCATTTTTGTATAAGTTGTAAGGAGGGGGTCCAGTTTCAGTTTTCTGCCTATGGCTAACCAGTTTTCCAAACACCATTTATTAAATAGGAAATCCTTTCCCCATTGGTTGTTTTTGTCAGGTTTGTCAAGGATCAGATGGTTGTAGATGTGTGGCATTATTTCTGAGGCCTCCGTTCTGTTCCATGGTGTATATATCTGTTTTGGTACCAGTACCATCCTGTTTTCATTACTGTATCCTTGTAGTATAGTTTGAAGTCAGGCAGCGTGATGCCTCCAGCTTTGTTCTTTTTGCTTAGGATTTTCTTGGCTACATGGGCTCTTTTTTATTTTCATATGAAATTTAAAATAGTTTTTTTCTAATTCTGTGAAGAAAGTCAATGGTAGCTTGATGGGAATAGCATTGAATCTGTAAATTACTTTGGGCAGTATGGCTATTTTCACTATATTGATTCTTTGTATCCATGAGCATAGAATGTTTTTCCATTTGTTTGTGTCCTCTCTTATTTCCTTGAGCAGTGGTTTGTAGTTCTCCTTGAAAAGGTCCTTTACATCTGTTGTAAGTTATTTTCCTAGTTATCTTATTCTCTTTGTGGCAATTGTGAATGGGCATTCACTCATGATTTTGCTCTCTGTTTGACAATTATTGGTGTACAGGAATGCTTGTGATTTTTGCACATTGATTTTGTATCCTAAGACTTTGCTGAAGTTGTGTATCAGCTTAAGTAGATTTTGGGCTGAAACAATGAGATTTTCTTTTCTTTTCTTTTCTTTTTTTTTTTTTGTGATGGAGTTTCACTCTTTTTTTCCAAGCTGAAATGCAGTGGAACAATCTTGGCTCACCACGCCTCTGCCTTCTGGGTTCAAGCTATTCTCCTGCCTCAGCCTCCTGAGTAGCTGGGATTACAGGCATGTGCCACCACACCCAGCTAATTTTGTATTTTTACTAGTGACAGGGTTTCTCCATGTTGGTCAGGCTAGTCTCGAACTCCTGACCTCAGGTGATCTGCCCACCTCAGCCTCACAAAGTTTTGGGATTACAGGCATGAGCCACCACATCCGGTTTTGATTTTCTAAATACACAGTCATGTCATCTGCAAACAGAAACAATTTGACTTCCTCTCTTCCTATTTGAGTATCCTTTATTTCTTTCTCTTGCCTGATTGCCCTGGCCAGAACTTCCAATACTATGTTGAATAGGAGTTGTGAGAGAGGGCATCCTTATCTTGTGCCACTTTTCAAAGGGAGTGCTTCCAGCTTTTGCCCTTCAGTCTGATATTGGCTGTGGGTTTGTCATAAATAGCTCTTATTATTTTGAGATACGTTCCATCAATACCTAGTTTATTGAGTTTTTAGCATAAAGTGATGTTGAATTTTAATGAAGGCCTTTTCTGCATCTGTTGAGATAATCATGTGGTTTTTGTCATTGGTTCTGTCTGTGTATGGATTACATTTATTGATTTGAGTATGTTGAACCAGCCTTGCATCCCAGGGATGAAACCAACTTGATCATGGTAAATAAGCTTTTTGATGTGATGCTGGATTTGGTTTGCCAGTATTTTATTGAGGATTTTCTCATGGATGTTCATCAGGGATATTGGCCTGAAATTTTCTTCTTTTGTTGTGTCTCTATCAGGTTTTGCTATCAGGATGACGCTGACCTCGTAAAATGAGTTAGGGAGGATTTCCTCTTTTTCTGTTGTTTGGAATAGTTTCAGAAGGAATGGTACCAGCTCCTCTTTGTACCTCTGGTAAAATTTGCCTGTGAATCTGTCTGGTCCTGAGGTATTTTTTTGGTTGGTAGGCTAATAATTAACTGCCTCAATTTCAGAACTTGTTATTGGTCCATTCAGGGATTGGACTTCTTCCTAGTTTAGTTTTGGGAGGGTATATTTGTCCATGAATTTATCCATTTCTTCTAGATTTTCTAGTTTATTTGCGTAGAGGTGTTTATAGTATTAGCTGATGGTAGTATGTATTTCTGTGGGATCAGTAGTGATATCCCCTTTATTGTTATTTATTGTGTCTATTTGATTCTTCTCTCTATTCTTCTTTATTAGTATGGGTAACAGTCTATCTATTTTGTTAATCTTTTCAAAAAACCAGCCCCTGGTTTTATTGATTTTTTGAAGGTTTTTTTTTTAGTGTCTCTGTCTCCTTCAGTTCTGCTCTGATCTTAGTTATTTCTTGTCTTCTGCTAGCTTTTGAATTTGTTTGCTCTTGCTTCTTTAGTTCTTTTAATTGTGATGTCAGTATGTCAATTTTAGATCTTTCCCACTTTCTCCTGTGGGCATTTAGTGCTATAAATTTCCCTCTCAACACTACTTTAACTGTGTCCATGAGATTCTGGTACATCGTGTCTTTGTTTTCACTGGTTTCAAATAACTTATTTATTTCTGCCTTAATTTATTTATACAACAGTCATTCAGGAGCGTGTTGTTCAGTTTCATGTGGTTGTGCAATTTTGAGTGAGTTTCTTAATCTTGAGCTCTAATTTGATTGCACTGTGGTCTGAGAGACTGTTTATTATGATTTCTGTTCTTTTGCATTTGCTGAGGAGTGTTTTACTTCCAATTACATGGTCAATTTTAGAATAAGTGTGATGTGGTGCTGAAAAGAATGTATATTCTGTTGATTTGGGGTGGAGTGTTCTGTAGATGTCCATAAGGTCTGCTTGGTCCAGAGCTGAGTTCAACCCCTGAATATCCTTGTTAAATTTCTGTCTCATTGTTCTGTCTAATATTGACAGTAGGATGTTAAAGTCTCCCACTATTATTGTCTGGGAGTCTACGTATGTTTATAGGTCTCTAAGAAATTGCTTTATGAATCTGGGTGCTCCTCTATTAGGTATATATATATTGGAGAGTTAGCTCTTCTTGTTTCTTTGATCCCTTTACCATTATGTAATGCCCTCCTTTGTCTCTTTTGAACTTTGTTGGTTTAAAGTCTGTTTTATCAGAGACTAGGATTGCAACCCCTCCTTCTTTTTCTTTCCATTTGCTTAGTAAATATTCCTTCGTTCCTTTATTTTGAAATTCCTTTGTGTGTTTTTGCATGTGAGATGGGTCTCCTGAATACAGCACACTGATGGGTCTTGACTCTTTATCCAATTTGCCAGTTAGTGTCTTTTAATTGGGGCACTTAGCCCATTTATGTTTAAGGTTAATATTGTTATGTGTGAATTCTATCCTGTTATTATGATACTAGCTAGTTATTTTGCCCGTTAGTTGATGCAGTTTGTTCATAGTGTCAACGATCTTTACAATTTGATATGTTTTTGCAATGTCTGGTACTGGTTGTTCCTTTCCATATTTAGTGCTTCCTTCTGGAGCTCTTGTGAGGCAGGCCTGGTGGTGACAAAATCTCTCAGCATTTGCTTGTCTGTAAAGGATTTTATTTCTCCACTTATGAAGCTTAGTTTGATGTGATATGAAATTCTGGGTTGAAAATTATTTTCTTTAAGAATGCTGAATATTGGCCCCCACTCTCTTCTGGCTTATAGTGTTTCTGCCGAGAGAACCGCTGTTAGTCTGATGGGCCTCCCATTATGGATAACCCGACCTTTCTCTCTGGCTGCCCTTAACATTTTTTCCTTCATTTCAAGTTTGGTGAATCTGATGATTAGGTTTCTTGGGATTGCTCTTCTCAAGGAGTATCTTTGTGGTGTTCTCTGTATTTCTTGAATTTGAATGTTGGCCTCTCTTGCTAGGTTGGGGATGTTCTCCTGGATAATATCCTGAAGAGTGTTTTCTAACTTGGCTCCATTCTCCCCGCCACTTTCAGGTACACCAATCAAACATAAGTTTTGTCTTTTCACATAGACCCATATTTCTTGGAGGCTTTGTTTCTTCCTTTTGATTCTTTTTTCTCTAATCTTGTCTTCACACTTTATTTCATAAGTTGATCTTCAATCTCTGATATCCTTTCTTCCATTTGATTGATTTGGCTATTGATACTTGTGTATGTTTCACAAAGTTCTTGTGCTGTGTTTTTCACCTTCATCAGTTGATTTATGTTATTCTTTAAACTGGTTATTCTAGTTAGCAATTTCTCTAGCCTTTTTTCAAGGCTTTTAACTTTCTTGCATTGGGTTAGAACATGCTCCTTTAGCTCAGAGGATTTTGTTATTACCAACCTGCTGAAGCCTACTTCTGTCAATTTGTCAAACTCATTCTTTGTTCAGTTTTGTTCCCTTGCTGGCAAGGAGTTGTGATCCTCTGGAGGAGAAGAGGCATTCTGGTTTTTGGAATTTTCAGTCTTTTTGCACTCATTTTTCCTCCTCTTCATGGATTTATCTATCTTTGGTGTTTGATGGTGACCTTTGGATGGGGTTTTTGTGTGGATGTCCTTTCTGTTGATGCTGATACTATTCCTTTCCATTTGTTAGTTTTCCTTCTAACAGGCCCCTCTGCTGCAGCTCTGCTGGAGTTTGCTGGAGGTCCACTCCAGACCCTGTTTGCCTGGGTATCACCAGCAGAGGCTGCAGAACAGAAATGATTGCTGCCTGTTCCTTTCTCTAAAAGCTTCGTCCAAGGGGGGCACCCACCAGATGCCAGCCAGAGCTCTCCTGTATGAGGTATCTGTCGACCCCTGCTGGGAGTTGTCTCTCAGTCAGGAGGCACAGGGCTCAGGGAGCCATTTGAGCAGGCAGTCTGCTCCTTAACAGAGCTAAAGTGCTGTGCTAGGAGATCCACTGCTCTCTTCAGAGCCAGCAGGCAGAAACTTTTAAGTCTGCTGAAGCTGCACCCACAGCCACCCCTTCCCCTGGTGCTGTGTCCCAGGGAGATGGGAGTTTTATCTACAAGCCCCTGACTGGGGCTACTGCCTTTCTTTCAGAGATGCCCTGCTCAGAGAGGAGGAATCTAGAGAGGAAGTCTGGCTACAGTAGCTTTGCTGAGCTGTGGTGGACTCAGCCCAGTTTGAACTTCCCAGTGGCTTTGTTTACACTGTGAGGAGAAAAACCTCCTATGCAAGCCTCAGTAATGGTGGACACCCCTCCCTCCACCAAGCTCAAGCATTCCAGGTTGACTTCAGACTGCTGTGCTGGCAGTGAGAATGTCAAGCCAGCGGATCTTAGCTTGCTGGTCTCCATGGGGGTGGGATCTGCTGAGCTAGACGACTCGGCTCCCTGGCTTCAGTCCCCTTTCCAGGGGAGTGAATGGTTCTCTCTCACTGGTGTTCCAGGCACCACTGGGTTGTGAAAAAAAAACTCCTGCAGCTAGCTCAGTGTCTGGCCAAACGGCTGCCCAGTTTTGTGCTTGAAACCCAGGGCCCTGGTGGTGTAGGCACCCGAGGGAATCTCCTGATCTATAGATTGTGATGACTGAGGGAAAAGTGTAGTATCTGGGCCAGAATATACCATTCCACATGGCACAGTCCCTCATGGCTTCCCTTGGCTTAGGGGTGGGAGTTCTCCAACCCCTTGTGCTTCCCAAATGAGGTAATGCCCTGCCCTGCTTCAGCTTGCCCTCCATGGGCTGCACCCACTGTCTAACCAGTCCCAGTGAGATGAGCTGGGTACCTCAGTTGGAAATGCAGAAATCGCCAGCCTTCTGTGTTGATCTCCCTGTGAGCTGCAGACCAGAGCTATTCCTATTTGGCCATCTATAAATCAAATACTGGCACATTTCAGTGGTGAATAACATTATAAAGAGTTAATTGGTATCAGCCATAGTTACTTTTTCATTATGCTCGTTAACTAGGTAGAATTCATTCATTCGGAACCTAGCAGACAGTTGTCTCATTTGTATGACAATGAAAGCCCTGATTAATAAAACTAGAATAATCTTAATACATCTTAAATTTAAATTTCAAATGATATATTAAAACAAAAACTGAAATATATGCATTAGGTAGCTATAGATAGCAAAGTACATTTATAATGACATAAATTGTAAATTTCATATAAAAGAGATAACATTTCAATAAATAAATGTCATAAATTTTGATGACTAAAAATTAATTATGCTATCTGGAGTGAGTGAATAGATTAATCATTCCAATTCTATTTGAGTGTGTAAATAAAGAGAAATTGCACAAATAAAATGAGATTGCCTGGGCCACATAAAGATGTTTTGTTCAGCAGCAGATTACATATGTGATGGTAATCCCGTAAGATTATGATGGAGCTGAAAAATTCCTATCGCTTAGTATTTATTATACAATATTTTAGTAAACTATTACTTTAGAGTATACCCCTTCTACTTACAAAAACAAAACGTTAACTGTAAAACAGCCTCAGGCAGTTCCTTAAGGAGATATCTCAGAAAAACACATTATCATAGGTGATTCCAGCTCCATGTGTGTTAATGCTCCTGGAGACCTTCCAGTGGGACAAGATGTGGAGGTGGAAGACAGTGATATTCATGATTTTGATCCTGTGTAGGCCTAGGCTAGCGTGTGTGTTTATGTCTTAGTTTTCTAATAAAATTTTTTTAAAGTAAAAATAAATAAAGATTTAAGAAAGCTTGTATAATAACATAAAGAAAGAAAATATTTTTTACAGCCATACATTGTGTTTGTTTTAAGCTAAATGTTATTCCAAGAGTCAAAGGTTAACACAACTAAAAGTTTATGAAGAAAAAAGCTATAGCTTTCCTGTCCTGCAAGCTCCATTCATGGTAACTTCCCTTTACAAGTGTACCATTTTTATTTTGTATATCATATTTTTTTACTGTATCATTTCTATGTTTAGATATACAAATACTACTGTGCTACAATTTTCTAGAGTATTTAGTTCAGCAATATGCTGTACAGTAATATGCTATATGGGTTTGTAGCCTAGGAGCAATAGGCTGTACTATATAGCCTAGATGTGTAGTAGGCTATACCATCCAGGTTTGTGTAAATACACTCTGTGTTGTTCACACAATCAGAAAATCACCTAAGAATGCATTTCTCAGATTGTATTTCTGTTGTTAATCAATGTATGACTGTATATCTAATGTTTCCAGATTTATTATTAATTATGTTTATTATATTTAATATGTTACCCCATTCTCCACTTACAACTGTATATCAACTACAGGTAATTCTAAAAGTTAAAAACTGAATTAACTGATTTACATTTATATATTCATACAAATTAATAAATGAACACACTACTATAGGTTACACATGCGTATTTATGGGAGGGAGTCAAATTGGTCCGATAGGCCGCCAACATCAGGAACAAATCAGATTCTTTTTAAAAAGACAAATTCCTGGGAACTTTTCCAGAAAGAATAAACCAAATCTATATGTAAGGGTTCAGGAATGTACATTTTAACGAATTTCTTAGGTGATGTTTGGTACTTTAAAAATTTCCGCCCTAGTTTTTACTTTCAATTTTCAATTGAAAATTCTTTCAATTTTAGAACAGTGTGTACTGGCATAGGGATATGTGGGGTTTCATTTACATAAAAGCAATTTAAGTTATGATCCTGTTCATTAATCAGAAATAATTAGAGCTGTTAGTATGCATTTGGTGTCTAACTGAGCTCAGTGCTCTGCATGTATTATCTTAAATGTCCATAGAAAATTTGAAGTGCTTAGAGGGGTTAAGTAAAAAAGTTCAAGGAAACAAAAAAAAGATGGTGGGGACCCAGGGTCAAAATCAGATCTATGGGACTCCTAAGCCCTTGCTTTTTCCACTATTTCACACTGATTTGAATTACTAGGGAAAGGAGATTTAAACATTTAGATATTGTGCTGAATGTTTTATCTTTGCTCTCCACATCCATGATTTTTTTTTTTAATCTTTATAGATTTAGTGAACACAAATGCATTTGTATTTTATGGATACATTGTGTAGTGGGAAATTCTGGGCTTTTAGGGTACCCATTACCTGGATAGCATACATTGTACCCAGTAGGTAATATTTCATTCTTAACCTCCTCCCATCCTACCATATTTTGGAGTCTCCAAAATCTATTACTCCTCTTTGTATGTCCATTGTCTAGCTCTTACTTATAAGTAAGAACGTACCATTTTTTTAACTTTATGTTTCTGAGTCACTTCACTTAGAATAATGCCCTCCAGTTCTGTCTATGTTGCTGCAAAAGATATGATTTAATTCCTTTTTATAGCTGTGTAGTATTCCTGGTATGTATATGTATGTGTGTGTGTGTGTGTCTACCCACTGCATTTTCTTTATTCAGTTATCCATCAACAGACACTTAATTCCATGACTATACTATTGTGAATAGTATGGTCATTAACATACCAGTAAAGGTGACTGATATGATTTGGCTCTATGTCCCCACCCAAATCTAACCTTGAATTTTAATAATCCCCGCATGTCCTGGGAGGCACTGGTGGGAGGTAAGTGAATCATGGGGGTGGAGTTTTCCTGTATTGTTCTCATGATAGTGAATAAGACTTATGAGATTTGATGGTTTTATAAAGGAGAGTTCCCTTGCACATGCCCTCTTGCCTGCCATCATGTAAGATGTGACTTTGCTCCTCATTTGCCTTCAGCCATGATTGTGAAGCCTCCCCAGTCATGTGGAACTGTGAATCAATTAAATCTCTTTTCTTTATAAATTACCCAGTCTCACACATATCTTTATTAGCAGCATGACAACCAACTAATACAGTAAATTGGTACCAGTTAAGTGGGGTGTGGCTGTAAAGATACCCAAAAATGTGGAAACAACTTTGGAACTGGGTAACAGGCAGAGTTTGGGACACTTTAGAGGGCTCCAAAGACAGGATGATATGGGAAAGTTTGGAACTTATAGAGAATTGAATAGCGATGAAAATACTAACAGTGAAACGGACAATAATGTCCAGGCTGAGGGGGTCTCAGATGGAGGTGAGGGACTTGTTGGGAATTGGAGCAAAGGTGACTCTTGTTATGCCTTAGCAGAGATTGGTGGCATTTTGCCTCTGCCCTAGAGATCTGTGGAACTTTGAACTTGAGAAAGATGATTTAGGGTATCTGTCGGAAGAAATTTCTAAGCAGAAAGCATTCAAGAGGTGATTTGGGTGCAGTTCAAAGCATTCAATTTTACATATTCACAAATATATCACTTGGAATTAGAATTTATGTTTGAAAAGAAAGCAAAGCATAAAAGTTTGGAAAATTTGCTGCCTGATGATGCAATAGAAAAAAAAAACCTATTTATGAGGACAAATTCAAGCCAGGTGCAGAAATTTACATAAGTAATGAGGGGCCAAATATTAATCTCCATGACAGTGAAAAACATGTCTCCAGGGCATGTCAGAGACCTTCACAGCAGCCCTTCCCATCACAGGACTGGAGGCCTAGGAGGAAAAAATGGTTTCTTGGGCCCAGCCCAGGATCCCCGTGCTCTGTGAATCCTAGGGACTTGGTACCCTGCATCCCAGCCACCTTAGCTGTGGTTAAAAAGGGCCAAGGTACAGCTTGGGCCATGACTTCAGAGAGTGCATGCCCTAAACCTTGTCAGCTTCCACATGGTGTTGAACCTGCAGGTACACAGAAGTCAAGAATCGAGGTTTCGGAACCTCTGCCTAGATTTTGCAGGATGTATGAAAACGTCTGGGTGTCCAGGCAGAAGGTTGTTGCAGGGGCCTGACCCTCATGGAGAACCTCTGCTAGGGCAGTGCACAAGGGAAATGTGAGGTTGGAACCCTCACACTGTGTCTGCACCGGGGCACTGCCTAGTGGAGCTATGAGAAGAGGGCCATCATCCTCCAGATTCCAGAATGGTAGATTCACCGACAGCACCTAGAAAAGCTGCAAACATTCATCGCCAGACTGTGAAAGCAATTGGAAGGGGACTGTAGCCTGCAAAGCCACAGGGGTGGAGCTGTTCAAGGTCATGGGAGCCCACCTCTTGCATCAGTATGACCCAGATACAAGACATGGAGTCAAAGGAGATCATTTTGGAGCTTTAAGATTTGACTACCCCACTGGATTTTGGACTTGCATGGGGCCTGTAGCCCCTTTTTTGGGGCCAATTTTTCCCATTTGGAACAGGTGTATTTACCCAATGCCTGTACCCACATTATATCTAGGAAGTAATTTGCTTTTGATTATACAGGCTCATAAGTAGAAGGAACTTGCCTTGTCTTAGAGGAGACTTTAGACTGTGGACTTTTGAGTTAATGCTGAAATGAGTTAAGACTTGAAGGCATGATTAGTTTTGAAATGTGAGGACGTGAGATTTGGGAAGGACCAAGGGTGGAATGATACAATTTGGCTCTGTGTCTCCACCCAAATCTAAGCTGGAATTGTAATAATCCCCATGTGTCATGGGAGGGATGTGGTGGGAGGTAATTGAATCATGGGCAAAGGGTTTTCCCATGCTGTTCTCATGATAGTTAATAAGTCTTATGAGATCTGAATGGTTTTATAAATTGGAGTTCCCCTACACATGCCTTCTTGCCTGCTGCCATGTAAGTCGTGACTTTGCTTATCATTCACCTTCAGCCATAATTATGCCTCCCCAGCCATGTGGAACTATGAGTCAATTAAATCTCTTTCTTTTATAAATTACCCAGTCTTAGGTATGTATTTATTAGCAGTGTGAGAACAGACTAATAACAGTGACTTTTTACTATAATGGTTTCTTTTCTATAGGTTAGATGAAACCTAGGAGTAGGAATGCTGAATCAAATAGCAGCTCTATTTTTAGTTCTCTGAGGAATTTCCATACTGTTTTCTGTAGAGGTTGTACTAATTTACATTCTGACAAGGAGTGTGTGTCTCCTTTTCTCTGTATCCTTGCCAACATTTGTTGTTTTTGGACTTTTTAATAACAGCCATATTGACTGGTATAAGATAATAGCTCATTGTAATTTTAGTTTACATTTTTCTGATAATTAATGATGTTTAGCATTTTAATAGGTTTTTGGGCCACTTGGGTGTTTTCCTTTGAGAATTTTTTTATGTCATTTGCCCACTTTTTATTGGCTTATTTGCTTTTTTCTCATTGAGCTTTTCAAGTTCCTTGTAGATTCTGGATAATAGCCCTTTGTCGAATGCATAGTTTGCAAATATTTCTCCCATTCTGTAAGTTGCCTACATACTCTGTTAATCGTTTCTTTGGCTGTAAAAAGCTTTTTAGTTTAATTAAGTCCAATTTGTCTATGTTTGTGTTGGTAGTGTTTGCTTTTGAGGACTTAAGTCATAAATTCTTTGCTTAGGCCACTGTCCAGAAGAGGTTTTCATAAATTTTACCTAGGAACTTTAGTTTCAAGTCTTACATTGATAGTTTTGAGAGTTTAATTCATCTTAACTTAATTTTTATATGATGAGAGATGGGGTCCAGTTTTATGCTTCTGCATATAGCTACCTGATTTTCCAAGCATCTTTTATTGAATAGAGTGTCCTTTCTCTAGTGTATATTTTTGTAAACTTTATCAAAGATCAGTTGGTTGTAGGTATTTCACTTTTGTTCTGGGTTTTTTATTCTGTTCAATTGATCTTTGGGTCTATTTTTATACCAGTACTATGTTGTGTGGGTTACTACATAGCCTTAAAGTACAATCTGAAGTCAGGTAATGTGATATATCCAGCTTTATTCTTTTTGCTTACTATTGCTTTGGCTATTTGATCTCTTTTTTTTAAATTCCATATGAATTTCAGTACTGTTTTTCTGAATTCTGTTCAAAATGACATTGGTAATTTGATAAGAATTGTGTTGAATCTGTTGAGTGCTTTGGGCAATATTTAGATGTACAAAAACTGGTACTGATCCTGCTAAAATTGTCCCAAAAAATTGAGTAGGAGAGAATCCCCTCTAACTCATTCTACAAAACCAGCATCACTCTGATACCAATGCCAGGCAAGAACACACAACAACAAAAATGTAAACCTACAGGCCAATATCCCTGATTTACATAAATGCAAAAATCTTCAACAAAATACTAGCAAATCAAATTTACCGGCACATCAAAAAGATGGCCAGGCGCAGTGGTTCACACCTGTAATCCCATCACTTTGGAAGGCTGAGGTGGGCAAATCATGAGGTCAAGAGATCGAAACCATCCTGGCCAAAATGGTAAAACCCCCCCGTCTCTACTAAAAATACAAAAATTAGCTGGGCGTGGTGGCGCTTGCCTGTAGTCCCAGCTACTCGGGAGTCTGAGGCAGGAAAATCGCTTGAATCTGGGAGGAGGAGGTTGCAGTGAGCAGAGATTGCGCCATTGCACTCCAGCCTGGAAGACAGAGTGAGACTCCATCTCAATAATAATAATAATAATAATAATAATAATAGTAATAATACACAGTAATCAAGTGGGTTCTATTCCAGGGATTCAAGGATGTTTCAGCATTTGTAAATCAATAAATGTGATTTACCAAATAAACAGAATTAAAGACAAAAACCATATAAGCATCTTAGTAGATGCAAAAAAGGCATTTGATAAAATCCGGCATCTCTTCTTGATAAAAACACCCTCAAGAAATTAGGCATAGAAAAAACATACCTCAAAATAATAAAAGCCACATACAACAAACCCACAACCAACATCACACTGAATGGGGAAAAGTTGGAAGCATTCCCCCTAAATTCAAAGGATTCCCACTTCGACCACTCCTATTCAGCACATCCATTCTTAATTATTTCTCATCTTGCTGTCTACTTGGGAAGATTAAGTAGAAGGGGTTGCATTCAGTTCGCTACTTGGATCAGACAATGAGAGGCACCGGTAGAAAATAGGAGACCAGGAGAAAAGAGGCGTGGGGTACTTGTACCGCAGCTCCCTAGCTGATGGGTCACAGGTTGGCTGCATTTTTCTTTAGGTGCAAGTCCTTTCAAAACCCTCTTTGTAGAGCTATGCTTTGCTTTCTAGTAAGCACCTTCTCCCCTTGCCACTTCAGTCCTAGGGTGGAAATGACTTCCCAGCCCTGGTACTGAAATTGCCCTTCTTAAATTCCCTAAACCCAGCCAACATATTTGTAATAATTTTTTATTTTTAACTTTCTTCAAATACCCAGTTTGATTGTGCCATCTGTTTCCCGCCAGGTCCCTGAGCAAATATTCATCTGGATTTAATGTACATTTTAAAAATAAACACTGTAAGTTTAATACCTCCCAGTACAATTTTTAATTGGAGAATATCTTAATAAAGTTTCCTTAGGACTTATCTAGAGACAAATGTTCGGGTAGAGAAATGATACAATATAATTTAAAGCTGTGAATAATTTTGATGAGTCAGATTAATATTGAAATTTGGGGAATAAAGCTGACTGATAGACAAACAAAATATGTTTAAAGAAAGAAGTGCACAATCATCAAAAAATAGTTGAAGAATTCAGTGTTCCACTCAATAATTGATATGTCAACCAGACATGATATCAAAAATTATATAGAACTCTTAAACATAAACACTCTTGACCTAAAAGACATCTACAAAACAGTCTTGCTTACAGTGAAAAATATAGTTGCAACTCTAAAGAAATTTAAATCTGAGGAATAGGCTTAATTTCTAAAGAGGTTATTACATCGTGATATATCAACAAATTCTTGCTTCTTCTTGTAGAAATATTTTGGAAGTATTCTTTTACAGGCAATTTATTTGAAGATACAGAATCTGGTTTCTGTATATTGAAATGTTCTAGGCACAAGCAGTCTAATTTCAAGGCCTGGATGAAATGGTTTACTGATTGAAACATTTAGCACTGTTAGAATGGTTCTTCAACATGTTCTATAGGGAGTGTGGGAATTCCCTATTGCTGGTAATTCCCTAGTATTCTTAATAATTGTGTTTTTGAGAATCTTGAGAGACAACGGTGGCATTTATGGCATTTACAAACATGCATTCACATGTCAGTTGAAGGCAATAATTATCTTCAAGGGATATCCTTAGCCTGGGAAAAAGAACAAAGCAGACACTGGGCACACCTTGGTCTGTAATTACATGCGCGATTCTCTTTTGGAAATCCCTGGATATATTCACCAGATCCTTGGCAGGGGAAATAATGTGATTTACTTTGTATCCAGAAACTGAGGTGTGCTTATGTTAGATTTCAGCATTACCAACTAAGTATGGTGACTTGCACAGTAGTTCACAAATATTACCACACCAATTTTTAGCTGTTACTAATTTGTAATTTTACTACAAAAATCACTAGTGCACCATTTTGGACCTTTCTGTAAGCAGACACGAAGACACATGCACAATATTTACTGGGAAAATTGTATTTGAAAAATAAAGGAGAAAGGACAAAGAAGTAGGCAGTGAGAAACCTTCAGACAGTAATGTATAAAGGAAGAAGAAAGGGCTAAGAGAAACTTCTCTCACAGTGCAGCTCTGTGAAATTTCATTCCATGTCTAATGAGGAGAACTGGAGTAAAGATTTCCCATCAAAAATTTCCTGTGATCAGCAGGAATAGCTCAGTTCTATTAGCCCTAGAAATCTTAGTCACTGGCTGGGAACACCCATGAGAGAGTATGGCCTTAACATGAATTCAGAAATGCAACAGATATTTGAAGCCCATTTGTCACCTATACATATCACAGTAACTAGGTTCTCTTGATGGGAGAAATGAGTGGAGCCCCTCAATGACTATCACAAATAGTTCTGGAAAACTGTTTATACTCAAGAGGATAGGCAAAATATTATATTATTTGCACATTCAGAACCTACTAAATATCAGGATGGAATTGAAATGTGTATTGTCAAATATGTAATTTATTTAGTGAAAAATAAAAATATCTTCATTACTTAAGACAGATTATATTTTAAAATCACATGATTGCTAAACTAAAATTAGAGGGAGATAATGAGAAAATAGAAGAAAATATGACCAAGTGTTGACAAAAATAAGAAAGAATAGAACTTAAAATACATCTTTTGAAGGAAATGGTCCAATTTCTCATTGTTTTATGCATCTGAAAGTGGAGGACAGATTTCACAAGATCTCTCATTAGGGAGATAATGAGATACTCTTCTAAGTAAGAATAAGGGAGAAAATAAGGTGCATGATCACTTGTGAGAGAAGAAACATCACTATTTAAAAAAAATAAAAATCTCACCAGTGAAAACACACCATCTTGTATTTACCATGTGGATTCAGTTTTATATGATTGTAACTCATGATGAAACAACATTCACGTTATAAACATTCCTAAAAATATGGATAAAACAATATTATTGGATAAAGTGTTTTATAGCCAACTGGTTCTGGAACTATGACCCCCATAACCAAAATCATAGCTGATTTCTTTCCTTGTTACTTTTCATTTCATTCATACATTTTCATTGTTTTTGACATGTTGAAAAATATTTTTTGTGACACATGCATAGCACTTAGCAGTGGGAAACCAAAGTGAGATTATAAAGTTTTACTAACCCGATAACACTCACTGAGAAGGTACACAAAGAGCAGTCATGAAACCATTACTCTGTGACTGTAAGCATAACACAATAACAAATAAAAAAATTTGAGTATTAATAATTGTTTAGTTCTCTTAGCATAATAGTGTATGCTCATATCTCAAAATATAAACTGAAATTTAACTGTACATGTAAGAAAACTGCATATATATGTTATTGCCAAAAAAACAGGCTTGCCTCCACTGACATTGATAGGGTTGCAGGTAATGTTATAAATGATAATTACAAAACCAACTCCTAATGCAGTTAAATATATAAATGAAGTCATTTAGGAAAAAATAAATCATAGGGATAATTGAAAAGTAAAATTATTTAAAACTAAAAAACATAAATTTATAAAAATGTGAATATTCATTTAGCATGCTATGGTATATCGAAATGAGCAGAAAACTATACGTTTTGTTGCTAATTCTGGCCAAAACTATGACAAATTTTAACTTAAAATCAATAAAAAATTATATTTTTGTAGAAAATTGGACAAGAAGTCACTGCAAATCTTTTTTAGAATTAATAAATCAAAACTCTTGTCTGCAATGTTTTTAACAATAGTAGTCATGTATACTGAAATAAGTGCTCTAACACTATCTGTTCCTTTATGTGCTTCATTAATTTTTACATCTACCTATACAATAACGTTTTTTCATTTTGGATATTTTAAAAGACAGTGGAGAACATTGCCCGTTTCTCTTAGTTCAGAATTGCCAGAAATTCCTAAGAGAAAGGGAAAAGAGAAAAAAGCAGCCAATTTGTGTTTATATATGTTTGATGATGTCTGCCTAACTGGTACTTCTGCAGAAGCATCTGTCAAGTTTCTATAGGCTTGGAAGAGGGGAGAATGGCACAAAGGCATGAGATAATTTTTTTTCAAGCACTTATAGAAGCGACTCTTAAAAATCAAATATAATAGCTGAGGACTATAAAAATAGAATACATTCTATATCTATATAAACATAGACTGGTATACACATACATCTTTGCTTCATCTCACTAGGGAAAAATACCATGGGTAGTTATTGTACAAAATAAGAGATGTCAATAAAATGTTGGAAGAAAAACAAGCAGATGAGCAAGTGATAGCAGGACATTTCCCTAGATGGCCTTGGGATGACCTAGTTCTCCTCTCTTTCTTGCTTATAGATCTCAAGAATAACTGTAGAACATGCTGGAAATGCAATATTTTGAATTAGGAAGGACAGCCTGGGCTTTGTTCTCTCTCCCCTAGAAGCAGGATGTCCTTCAAAGTTTTGCCCCATAAGTCACATAGTCTCTGAATTATATAACCTCTGAAAGGGGTGAACTGCCTTTCAGAGTCCCTCAACTGTCGTGCAAAATGGGGCACACACAGTCAAGACTTTTTCTTCTCTGTACTGTTTCTTAAGCCTTGGGGAATCTGCTCATAATTGATCCAGTCTTCTGTGCCTTTCAGCTTATCAGTCAGTATTAAACCTGATTCACATAACTTGTATGTGAGTGAATTCTGTCACACTGGACTCAGATAAATAGGTAACTAGTGCATGATGGACATAAGCAGTAGCCCAGGATGCAGTGGGAATCATTATATAGACTTCAGTTTCTGGTACTTGGCGTAATAATCACCTTTGCTATTCTCCATGCAGTGAGAGTCCTCTCTTGGGATCCGTAATTACTGAGTCTGCTTTACAGTGATACTTTAGTAGGGAAAACAAAGTTGAAAGCTAATTGCTTGCCTAGAGATGCAACACAAGGCAAGTGTATTTACACATAGAATAATAGAATGTTTCTGCCAGTGAAACTCCTAAATACTTGTAAAGAGAGAAGATATGAAAACAAGAAGATTGATTGAAAGTTTGTTTGGACACCAGTTAGAATCCCGAATCCTCACCTTTGCTCCATGCAGCTATGACTTGTTCTTTCTAACAGTGACAACATACAGAAAATATCTTCTCCACTCTTGCTTAAGCAGACAGATGCCATATACGGTAAGAAGACAGAATATGGTGCAGGTAATGTGAGGGCAGTTGATTAAAAGTCAAAATGTAGTAGTGATACTCTTCCAACTTGTATGTCCTTTCTGGATGGACAGCTAAGCTTATATTCCCAGGCAGGGCATATCCTCACATTCTGCTATTTGGTTGCTAAAGTATTATTAATACAGCACATAGGTATACTAAGTAGTAAGACATATGGAGAAAGGACTGTTCTGAGTGGGAATATTTTAATGCTGGAATACGTCATTTAAAATAACATTTCAAACTACAAAAGAAATAATTTTGGAGGGAGTCCATTTTTTTCTGCACCTTGATTTATCCATTTATTAATTTAAACAATTATCTATCACATACTGGGTGCATAATTTTTCCTGCTTTTAAATTGGAATATAGTAATTGTAATGTACTGCAATGAAGACAAATAGAATTTTGTGAAAAATGCAGCTGGAGCATAGGATCTTTCTGGATGGTCAGGGACTGTATGTCTTGGAATTTAACTGATGAATACAGACTCAAGCAGATATGGAATAGGATATAATGTTAAATAAATGCAAATAATTAGATGAGATGGAAGATCAGTTGGCCTCTTCAACCAATGTAGATAAAACTCTGGACATTTTATGACCACAGAATGTAAGTCCGTTCATATTAATGATCAAATGGACAATATTTATTGTTACTAAATAAACGTGCATTTGTTAAGGATAGAACCAGAGCTGCATTAAGAGAAACTAATGTAAAACCAAATAAGCAGTTAGAAATTGAGTTCAGATATATAAGTTCAAAAGAGAAATAAGATAGCCAAAAGAGGACCGTAATCTGGCTGCCAAGCTACAGTAAGACATGCCAGAGGGGCAGAGTTGGAACACAAGAGGAAGTACCTCAATGTAGTCAAACAGGTTAGGACTGAAACAGGTTAGGCAAGAAATAATCACTGGAGAAGTGAAGGTCTGCAGACTTACATTACCTAGCTAATCGTGCTGCACACAAATGTCTACCTAGTGCTTAGTCCACACAATTCCTCATGGCATCAAAAGTTATTGAACTTCTGTGTATGTTTAAGAAATCTAGCCACAGAGATCAATGATTAACAATGGCTGGCAGAGATCCAAAGTCTACATGTTAATGGATGAAACAGACTAGTTTCTCCACCATGAGTAAATCCTCTTTGTCATTTTCTTCTGTCTTTTAAGATACCCATGTTTTTATTTATAGCACTTATAAAAATATTACCTTATTCATATTTAATACGAATTAATTTAGCAATTACAAACCACTTACATTTTCTACCTTCCTTAGCGTATTTATCTTTTCCGTGTAATTTGTCACCTACGATGTTACATATTTATTTGTGAATTTGTTTATTATTGTCTTTTTCACTAGAGTTTAAGCTCCAGTTTGGTGGAGGCTTTTTGTTTTAATCTTATCTCTATGGGCAACACATGGAGCAGGAGCCAAATAAATGTGTGTTGAATGAAATGAATACATATCTGTTGAACTGACTGGGAGAGAATAAACAGTTATTTAAGGATTATTATTTAACATTTGTTTTTCGTCTCTGGATAGCTATCTCTGTAACAATTGAGAGTCTTGTAGTTGTGTTTTGCTTACCATTGCTTAATCAGAGCATATAAAAGACTTAAAAACATTACAGATACTTGTTGAATGAATGAATAAGTGTTGGAAAATCTGACGTGTTTCTACAAACCTGTTAGGACCAAAAGAAGCTGATATATTAATTAAATATTATGAGATTCTGGATTCAGGAGTAATGCTTCAGAAACTAGAGGACAAATTGTGATGCCGAGTTGGAAAGATTATTTTCCACCACTCAACATCCCAGGCATAGAACAGTTTTGTGATATGATAGTTTAGAGGTAAAGTTTTCTGATACTATATATACATATATAATATATAATATAAAAAGTTAAATACACATACATATACACATACCATAGGTACCCTATATATAATATATATTATGTATATATTATATATACAGTATATTATATACTATATATACACAATATATAATATTCAGTATGTATATATTATGTATACATATATTATATACTCTATATACGTACTATATATTATATATAGTGTACACATAGTATGTATATATGTATGTGTATTTAACTTTTCATATTATATATTATATATTGTATATATAGTATAATATATAGTATGTATACATTATATATACATATATACATATATAATGTATATATAGTATATAATATACATATGTATATATTATCATAAACCAAGGTAAGTTATTTATTTTTACTTGAATTTCTTCTATACACCTCCAAATTTCTATGAATTTTAAGTTGTTATACTTTTAAAAATCTATTATACAAAAAACCCTTAGAACCCATTTGTATAGATAACTCCAAGTATCCTCATTTATTTTGCTATATATCCCAAAATACAAGACTTTTCAGTAGTCAAATGTAAAGCCAATAAGAAAAACAATAATTAATAATAGCTAACATATATCATGGCTTATTTTGTGTCAGGAACTTTAGATAAACTATATCAGTGAATTACAGAGCAATTCCTAAGTTTACAAAGATGGAAACTGACACTCAGAGAGGTTAAAATTTTAGTTATAACTACTACTAAAAGAAACTAAAGCTAGTCCTCTGAAGCTGAAAGACTGTAGTCTCAGGATCTTAAGAACATCATTATATTACTAAGGATGGCAAATTTGTATATACAGTTTTTCATAGCTCTCGACCTTTGGGACCTACAACCAATTAGCAAGCTAGTTAATTTCAGGACACATAAATAGAGGAGTAGGGCCGGAGGCAGTAAGTTAAGGCACTGAGGCCAGAGCACAAGGAGGCTGGACTGAAACAGCTTGTATTAACACTTATGCAAAACGTTATTGGTCTTTATCTTGCACTTATACAACAGCTAAAGAGAGTAAAGAGAGGTTCTCTGCTTCCCAATGATACTGCCTCACTCTCTAGGTTGCAATATTTAACATTTTGACTGATAGGAATTCATAGGTAGTAACCTTGATCACCAGACATACCAATACCAGATTGCTGGAGATGCTAAGTCTGGTCAAAGTATAACCTGAGAGGGAAAACTACTGAAGGGGCCTGAATGCTCGTCATATTTGGAAATAATTGTGCATCTATGAGATTGTTGAGTTGACATATTAAGCATTTCTTATTCCTTTTTTATATGAAACCTAATACTGTTTAAGCCATTATACGCTGGCTTTTTAAAGAAAATTTGTACAAGAATAGTAATTTGAACAGCATTCTACTTTTAACTCCTACTGCCATAGAAAGTAATGACTATATAGCTGTCTATGGCAGTAATGTAACAGCATGAGATCTTGCATTAGTTAATATTAATATTTCCTTAAAGGATACTTATTTTGTAATAATAATAAATGACAAATGTCAAAATTAATTCTTTTTATTCCTGTACTTTATGATTAATGTTTAAGGAATAAAGCATATGTAAGTATCAGAAGGTAGTTGAATGACAACTTAGAACAGAAACTTAAAAAGGAAAAACTAATTTATTAATATACACCATAAACTATATAAATGTGACTACATCAAACAATATGAAAAAGTTAAATACAGAATATGCCTCCCAAAAGAAGTTACACAACATATTAATACAAAATAGGCTGGGTGCAGGGGCTCACACTGGCAATACCAGCCCTTTGGGAGGCTAAGACAAGCAGATTGCTTGAGCTCAATAGTTCAAGACCGTTGGGTGACATGGCAAAACCCCATCTTTATAAAAAGTACAAAAAATTAGCCAGGCATGGTGGTGCGTGCCTGTAGTCCCAGCTACGAAGGAGACTGAGGTGAGAGAATCACTTGAGCCCAGCAAGTCGAGGCTGCAGTGAGCCATGATTATGCCACTACACTCCAGCCTGGGTGACAGAGTAAGACCTTGTCTCAACAAACACACAAAGAAACAAAAAACTTAAACAGTACGTTAGAAAGATCACTTATCATGACCAAGTGGAATTTATCCCTGGGATGCAAGGATGATTCAACATACGCAAATCAATCAACATGATATATTGTATAACAGAATAAAAGATAAAAAACGTATGATCTTTTCAATTGATGCTGAAAAAAGCATTTGATAAAATTCAATGTCGCTTCATGATAAAAGCCCTCAAAAAACTGGGGATGACATAAACATACTTCAGTATAATAAAAGCCATATAAGACAGACAGACCCACATCTAGTATCATACTGAGTGGGGAACCTTAAGACCTTTCCTCTAAGATCTGGAACAGGATAAGAATGCCCACTGTCACCATTTTTATTCAACATATTACTGGAATTTCTAGTTGGAACAATCAGACAAGAGACATATATAAAGGACAACCAAGTTGGAAAGGAAGAAGTCAAATTATCCTTACTTGATGATAATATGATCTTATATTTGGAAAAAACTAAAGACTTCACAAGAAAATTATTAGAACTGAAAAACAATAAAGTTGCAGTATACAAAATTAACATACAAAAATCAGTAGCATTTCTATATGCCAGCAGTGAACAATGTGAAAGAGAAATTTAAAAAGTAATCCCATTTACAAAAGCTACACATAAAATTAAATACCTTGGAATTAATCAAAGAAGTGAAAGATCTCTGTAATGAAAACTATAAAAACATTGATAAAGGAAATTGAAGAGGACCCCCGAAAAACGGGAGAATATTCCATGTACATGGATTGGAATAATCAATATAGTTAAAATGTTCATACTACTCAAAGCAATCTACAGATTTGATACAATCCCTATCAAAATGCCAATAGCATTCTTCACGGAAATAGTAAAAACAATCCTTAAATTTATATGGGACTACAAAGACCAGAATAGCCAAAGCTATCCTAAGCTAAAAGAACAAAACCAGAGGAATCACATTACCTGACTTCAAGTTATGCTACAGAGCCAGCATGACACTGGCATAAAAACGGACACATAGACCAATGGAACAGAATAGAGAACTCAGAAACAAATCCACACACATACAGAAAACTCATTTTTGACAGAGGTGACAAGAACATACACTGGGGAAAAGACAATATCTTCATAAATGGTGCTGGGAAAACTGAATATCCGTATGCAAAAGAACCAAAGTAGATCCCCATCCCTCACCATACACAAAAATCAAAAGAAAATAGATTAAAGACTTAAACCTAAGGCCTCAAACTATAAAACTACAAGAAACCATTGGGGAACATCTCTAGGACATTGGTCTGGGCAAAGATTTCTTGAGCAATACCCCACAAGCCAGGAAACGAAGCCAAAATTGGACAAATGGGATCGCATCAAGTTAAAAAGCTTCTGTTCAGCAAAGGAGACAATAGAAAAACTGAAGAGACAGCCCACAAAATGGGAGAAAATATTTGCAAACTACCCATCTGACAAGGGTTTATTAACCAGAACATTTAAAGGAGCTTAAACAACACTATAGGAAAAATACCTAATAGTCTGATTTTTAAAAATGGGCAAAATATTTAAAATATTTGAATAGACATGTCTCAAAAGAAGATACACACATTGCAAACAGGCATGTGTAAAGGTGCTCAATGGGCCAGGCACGGTGGCTCACGCCGGTAATCCCAGAAGTTTGGGAGGCCGAGGTGGGTGGATCACCTGAAGTCAGGAGTTCAAGACCAGCCTGGTCAATATGGTGAAACCCCGTCTCTATTAAAAATACAAAAAACAGCTGGGCGTGGTGGCAAGCGCCTGTAATCCCAGCTACTCGGGAGGCTGAGGCAGGAGAATCTCTTGAACCCAGGAGGCAGAAGTTGCAGTGGGCCGAGATTGCTCCATTGCACTCCAGCCTGGGCAACAGTGCGAGACTCCATCTCAAAAAAAAAAAAAAAAAAACACAAAAAAAAAAACAGAAAAGAAAAAGTGCTCAACGACATGGATCATCAGAGAAACGCAAAGCAAAAGTACTGTACTCTATCATCTCATTCCATTTAAAATAGCTTATATCCAAAAGACAGGCAATAGATGTGGAGAAAAGGGAATCCTGTACACTGTTGGTGGTACAACCACTATGGGGAGCAGTTTGGAGGTTTCTCAAAAAACTAGAAATTGAGCAGTCCATAAGATCCAGCAATCCTACTGCTTCATACATACTCCAAAGAAAGGAAAACAGTATATGAAAGGGATATCCACACTCCTCTTTGTTGCAGCACTCTTTACAATAGCTAACTTTTGGAAGCAACCCAAGTGGCCATCACCGAATTAATGGATAAAGAAAATGTGGTACATATGCACAATGGAGTACTATTCAGCCATAAAAAGAGTGAGATCCAGTCATTTGCAACAACATGGATAGAACTGGAGCTCATTATGTTAAGTGAAATAAGCCAGGCACAGAAAGAGAAACATCACATGTTCTCACAATGTGCTTATTTCACATTGCATGCCTATATCAAAATATCTCATGTACCCTATAAATATATAGATCTACAAATTACAAAAATCTTAAATAATTATTTTTAAAAACTCTTTTCTCAGAGAACCCATTGAAAATTGTGAAATCCCTATCAAAACAAAATTTTGGGTCCACAGGTATATTGCAACATCATTTGAATGTGTTTTTCTTTTAAATTATTTTTATTTATATGTATGATACAGTCATTTTTGGTTGTCACTAATTGATACTCTTGAAGTATACGTCTCTTTACTAGTAGTCTATCATCTTTCCACTGATGGATCACTCTCTGTTATCTTATTAGAAAAATTAAATTCACTTCTCTGCCACACAATTATTTATTTAAAATAATTCTTGTTTGAAATACTTTTATTCAGAGTTCATATTTCTTTAATGAATTTTTCACTGCATCAAATCATGATGTAATGGATTTTATGTACCTCGGGGCTAAAGTACATCAGAGTAAATGGGCAGTGAAATTTGAGGGCATCTTTCTTAGGACATTAAGAAAAAGGAGACTATAGTTTGAAACGTAGTTTCTTATTGGTTAAAAAAGATTCAGAAAATTTATACCTCAAAAATGAGTAATTTATTAAAGATGTCTGTTATGTCTAATTATTAGAAAGCATGGCAAATTATTTGAGATCAATTAAGAGGAGAACATTTCTTTCTAACTTGTATATAAATAAAACATTTGAAAGAGATTATATTTAATTTTGTGGATAAGCACTGCGATAATAAATATATTGTCTTTTTTTGAATTTATGAATTATTGGTAAAAAGTTATATTCAGAAATTATGTATCGGAATCTCTCTCTGTTTCTTTCTCAGTTGCTTTCTGTCTCTGTCTTTCTCTCGCTTTATCTTTCCCCCGCCCCAACACATATATATACACGCATACACACATAACATATATCTCAATATATCTACACCTGCAGTGAATTTCAACATGGAGTGGAGCTAATATTTGGGTTGAGAAATAAGATTTTGGTATGTATGTACTTTTTAAAAAATACTCTATATTTTCACATATAATGACTGGTGATATTTTAGGTAGTATAACTAAACCATATTATAGTAACACATGCTTTTTGACACCAGGATCCTTGCCTAACTCATGGCTTTATTCTTAGGTTTATTAGAGTAACTGCCTTATAGATAGATAATAAATAACTATTAAGTAAATACTCAAGTGTTTAAAAAATGTGAGTAATTTCAGGAGGAGGATAGTTTTAAATGTATTTAAATACTTTGTTATAATTATGTTCATTAAATGGGAGTTTTTTTGGTTTGTTATATATTAAACTTCCTAATTTATAATATTTAAATCAAATAAAAGACCTGAACGTATGTTATACAATCTGAAAATTAAATGATGAGAAGGTTTTCCTTACATTTATAATTTATTGCATAACATTCACATTGCTTTTTTAAAAAAAGCATTTCTGCGCGATTGAGAGAGAATGAGGAAAAAGTAGAAAAGAATAAATATCAATTAACTCTTGTGATATTCTTTTGTATTATTCTAATAAACTACTCAGAAAAAATACTCCATGTGCTATGTATTATTGATGGTGCAGATGGTAGTGAAACATTGAATAATTATTTTTTTAAAAATATTCACCTGAAACTCAATTCTTTGCTTTTTATTCATTTAAAAGCTTTGGGCTTTTGTCGTCTTTGCTTTCTATTGTATAAATACTTACAAACAATTAATAATCCCCTCTTCCAACTCCTCAGCTAATTCATCTTTCATGTAACTGAACCAAATCTTGATTTTGAAAAATTATCAACTTTATACATTAAATATTATTTATATATAATACAACATATTCTATTTGCATAGAATGTGTAATACAATATATCATATTTATATATGATATATTATAAATAATATAATAATAGGTTTTTACACTTTTGAATATTTTCACATGTAGCAGAATCATACTGGCTAAAATAACCTACAAATCGACAGCAGAGGGCACCCATTTCCTGCTTTGAAGAAAAACTGAAATCCTTCCCTATAAACATTTTTCCATAAACGTGTATTGCTTTGTCAGTTTATTTAGAAAAGAAAGAAAGGGTATTTGCTTTTTCTCCCAGAAAACATTAAGAAAGAGAAACAATTGATAAATACTTGTGGTGGAATCAATTATGAACATAAATTAAACTCAAATTATAAAACAGTAAACAGTTTCTAAAGAATATAAACATAAAAATCTATTATCTATTTACCTTCATTATCATCATGTATAATTTACCCATAATTTTTATGTATATTTATATCTATGTACCTATAACTGTTACTTATGCTTATTATAGTAAATCCTTACCTCCGATGTATTATTATTGATAACAATCTTTGTAATTTTGTAGAACAACTACACAGAAATTATCTGCTTTAATTTAAATAATTCTACTCATCTACTGTGCATAGTTAAATCCGTGTATGCGCATGAGTGTGTGTGCGTGAGAGAGACAGAGAGAGAGAGAAAGAGACAGGAAGAGAGAGTGAAAAACTGTTTAATATTTTGGAGTTGTCAAGCATTTTGATATAAATGAATTATTAGACTCTTTTTTACACACATTTAAGAGAAAGGAATAGAGCCTTTAATGCAAATAGACACTTTTCAGTAAATCACTAAAGATTTTGAATTTAATATGGAATTCAATAAAAATTTTTGCATTCAATTTAGCTTTAAATAACTTCCTTTGGTTTACATTGTATTTTATTTTATTTTTATTTATCCAATAAAGAACAGGAGGGAATATTATCGATTTGATAGCCAGAGGCTTATAAGCGAATGAAGTCAGTCTCTTTGGCGTTTGCCCTGCTATCTTTTTGGAATAAATTGTCCCTTAATTGGTGAGCGTAGAGAATATTATTTTAATAAATATTTAATGAAAAAAGATGTTTTATCTATTCATTAGACACCTTAGTAATATATGCTCATTAGAAGAAAATGAATAAGAGTATTTAATATTCTTTGTTTACAACAGATGACATAATAGAATATATTAATATATAAGCTGTGACCTTCACACTTTGCCAGTTTTAGAAACAAGGAGTAAGTTGCCCTCTCATACTCTCTTCTATGCTTTATGTTAATTTATTTTCAGCTACATAAATTAAATTAACCTTTAGTGATAGTCATATATAATCTGTAATTAGAAATATAAATATTTTAAGAGTTTTTTTTCTTAAAGTTAAAAATTTTAAGGTTAAAAACATTGATCAAAAGTGAGTATTGTAAATAATATATTTAATCTCTAATATGTTGAATTTTTAAGGAAATAAATTAATAGGAAGATGTCTATGAAGCACCCATGATTCGTTTTCTTGAAGATATAATTTTACATTTGGAAAATACCCATTGAATTCAGTTCAATGAGAAAAATAAGTAAAATATACACAAATTTAAATAGAAATTGAAAATTAAGTATTTAGTTAATATTGTATACCAAAATTGTCTTTTATGTATTCCCACTAATTTATTGGTACATTAAACATTTCAAATTTTTAAATTAGAATTTAATAAAATCTGTAAGATATGAATGATATGTGACTTCTATATATAAGTTTGAATTATAGTAATGGTGGTTTTAATTTCCTTTGCTTAAAATTAAAATATTGATGATTATATGACTGAAAAGTTTTTAAACAGCATTTTTGAGACAAACATCTGAAACATTCACTTGTGAAAACTTTTTTAATATTTAAATAAAATATTTAGAATTTGATTATTTTAATTTCATAATTAGAGATAAGTTAACAAAATGGAAGAAAAGAGTTTATATTGTTTATTGAAATATGTAATTATTTTAAAGATGTTTTTGCTGGAAATAAAGTACATATTTTGAGCTCAAGTTGCTACTCTCAGAGGTAGATATTATGCTGTGAATGATGAAAAGAAATTAATACATCCTGAATAAAAATAAACAATATTACATTAGTCCTACTGCTCACAAAACACTTTTGAGATACCTAAAGTTATGAAACATACTAAACTCTTCTTAAAATTCTATGATAAATATATTATTATTTCTCATAGCTAAACAAACAATAGTGAGAAGCAAGACATGAAACAGTTTTCTGAAGATTTTTGTTTTGGACTTTATAGTCTTATGGAATAGAAAAATTATTCCCTGGACACTAGAATTGAGACATAAATTTACATGTTTTAGAAAGAATATGTGCTTGATATTAGTAAACAAAAAAGACACAGGCACAATTAGGTTTGTTTTTAAAAATGTTAAAGAGTTAAGGTTTTATAATTGATAACTCCTGTCTGTATATATTTCACTATGTATTTTCCATAGAGCTATACATTCTAAATATCTTTCATTATGACTGTTAGCTATCTCCATATCTTCAAAACTATTCTTTGATATTTATTATATTCAACTTTCTTGTATAGTGCCATAGGCTTAGCAATGAAAATATGTTTAGTATGAATAGTAATGTTGATGAAATAGTGGCATTAGTTTTCCAGTTGGTAGATGTTATACTTTTCCTTCTCTGATTTGTCTTTTGTGTTCTATTTACCATCTATTTAAAAGAAAGTTGATTTTAATCATATAGATTTTGGCAACAGTTTTCTATGCAAAATGACAGCTGATTCAAATTGTCAGCAGCCTTATGAATCAATGCAGATAGCCACATGATTGATCCAGTTATTTCAGTCGGTATAGATTTTGAACAAAGCATCAGCTGTGCCACAATCTATTTGGCCCCAGAAACTGCATCATTTTTCTAGGCCCTATCTTTTAGAAACGGAGGTGCTGGACTGAATACAAATTCGCAAAAAGTCATTTAATCAATAAAGCAGAAGGCAATGAATGACAAGTAAACCTGTGTGGACAGGAACAAGCCAACTGCTCTTTATGGTAGTAAATATGAGACAAAGCATTCCTAGTGTTAAATAAAAACAATCGTGTTTTAGAATAAATAGCTTATTAGTTAATTAGGATGAATAACCAAAGTCCAATTAAAGATAGTCAAAATATTGTAAGAACTAATAATGCAAGGTGTTAGAGGAATAAGAGTAGATTTTTAGCCTTATGTTTAGCTCTTTGCTTTATCACTCCCTTCACATCCAGCTTTTTCTGTTTCTTTTAATGGCTGAATCACAGAATTGCAACTTCAATCACATTCAATTTATATTTTTCTTTTTCTTCTTCCATTCAATTAATATGTCATTAGATATTCTATTACTATCTCGACTACCAGCCCCTAAAAGACATTGTACAAGTTGCTTGTCACACTGTATCTCATTTCATTTTCCTATGTTTATGAGGTAGGTTATATAACTAGTTCTTGGTCTCAGATAAAAGCATTACAATGTTCTCATAATGAGTAAATAAAAAGCAAGGCCCTGAATTCAGGCCTATCTTCCTCCAAGATAATTTTAACAATGACATAACACTGTACCCTGAGAAATTCAAAACTACTTTTCTCTTCTGTCCATCAATGCTTCTCCATTTTCTACCTCCACTAACTTAATCTATTGTGTAATTTGTTTTGAAATTGTTTGCTATCTCTGATATCTCTCAAAATGTAATCTATCCTACTAAATATAATTGGAATAATCTTTCTATATCATATCTGTGCTCAAAAGAACTTTAAGAATTGCTTAGAATTAAGAATTTTTAGTAAAATTAAAATGTTATTACTCAAACAAAAATTGAATAGAACTTTCCTTAGGCAAACATATCACTTTTTAGAATACAAATATTGTCAGAGTAATATTTCAGACTCAATGTCTAAATCACGTATTTTCTTCTTAGAAGTTGCTCAAGTATATTTTTTCTGAACTGGATTTATACTATAACAAATACTTTTATAATGTCTTCAAGAGAAGAATTCTTTAATATATGATATAAAACACTTGAGAGCAAAAGAGGATATGTAGCTTTTTAAGTTGGCATTTGAGAACAACAACCAAAAAATCTCTACATTATTTATATTCCCAAGCAGAGGGATAAGAAGCTTTCTACTAACAAAAATGCTTCATATAAGTAAGTTTGAAATAGCCTGATTTGGCTTTCATGGTTGTAGAATAATAAGTATCAAAATGGTGAAAAACATTTAATAACTCTCTGTTGCAGGAAAAAATAGAGAGTTATTTACATTGTTCTCTTAAGTCTTGATATTTTAGATAGTTTAGTCAAAATAATTTCATATATTTTCATTATGAAAGTGAATACTTTTTCTGTAAGCCTAAACATATTATAAACTAGGAAAAGTTATTGGACACTGTCAATTTTTTACTTCATGTGAGGCTGTACAAAATTTACTTTGACATGAATAATGCCAAAATTTGAATAAGTGGACTGTGGCCTTTGAATTAGAGAAGAATATGTACCAAATCACCAATCAGCACTGTCTAGTTCAAATAGAATCCTCCTTGAAAAGTGTCTGAAATGATTTCTAATCATAAGAGGAAAGATGATTTGAGTTTTAATACATTTTCAAGCCCATTTTTTTTAATATTGATGTACTTCTTCTTCTTTTTTTTTTTTTTTTTTTTTTTTTCAGACAGAGTCTTGCTCTGTCGCCCAGGCTGGAGTGCAATGGTGTGATCTTGCCTCACTGCAACCTCCACCTCCCGGGTTCAAGCAATTCTCCTGCCTCAGCCTCCTGAGTAGCTGAGACTACAGGCGCCTGCCACCACACCCGACTAATTTTTGTATTTTTAGTAGAGATGGGGTTTCACCATGTTGGCCAGGCTGGTCTTGAACTCCTGACCTCAGTTGATCTGCGTTCCTTGGCCTCCCAAAGTGCTGGGATTACAGGCATGAGCCACCACGCCCAGCCATTGTACGTCTTGAGCAATAAAAATTTAAATTAAATACTTTAAATTTTAGTTTTCCAATTAAATAAAATGTATATGGACTTAAAACTTGAAACCATCATTCTCAGCAAACTATCGCAAGGACAAAAAACCAAACACCGCATGTTCTCACTCATAGGTGGGAATTGAACAATGAGAACACATGGACACAGGAAGGGGAACATCACACACCGGGGACTGTTGTAGGGTGGGGGGAGGGGGGAGGGATAGCATTAGGAGATATACCTAATGCTAAATGATGAGTTAATGGGTGCAGCATACCAGCATGGCACATGTATACATATGTAACAAACCTGCACGTCGTGCACATGTACCCTAAAACTTAAAGTATAATAATAATAAAATTTAAAAAAACTTGAATTATTGTTAAATCAGAATTATATACCTTATTGTTTTTACTATAATATTAGGAATTTTTTTAAAGTCAAAATTTTAGCATTTTTTTCCAACAATTATTAAGCAATTTTAACCTCATTTAAGGACTCAAATACACAGCTAAATATCAGCTGTGACTTCTTTTATTACTATTATCTACCCCATATTTAATTTAATACACTTTGTACTGTTTTATTGACTGGATCTGTATGTATGTCTCTACAGTCTAGTGAAATATTGTTATACCCCAGCATCTATGCATGAATGTAATATAAAATATTTATTGGCACTTAAATATCTGCCAACCTCAGGAACATGTTCTATACCTATAATATCACGTCTTAGAAACATAACCCAGTTAAGTAAATGTGACTATGTGACAGATGGGGTTATGTTTAGACAGCTAATTAATTTTTGTAATTTTATAATGCTTGTGACGAAAATGAGTTTTGAACCCAAATGTGTTTGTGTCCAAAGACCAGGTTATTAAACATGTTACAACCTTATTACCAAAGAATATCACATAAAATAGCTTCTCACTAAATGCTTAACGTGTTTATACTTATCTAAACCAGGGATCAGAAAACTCTGGACCATGGGTCAAATGCTGCCCACTTCCTGTTTTTGTAAATAAAGTTTTATTTGAACATATTCCTATTCATTAATTTATATATTGCTTATGGGTTCTTTCCCAGTACAGTGGCAGGGTTTGTCAGTTACACTAGACATAACATTACCCACAAAGTCTAAAATAGTTACTTTTTAGAAAAAGCTTGCCAATCCTTGATGTAAACTATATTACATCTGTAAAAAGGTACCTGTGACTGTATATCAACATAAAGAAGATGACCACCTAGATTTTATGATTTTAGTGATTATAAATTATGTAATTGCCTTCCCTAAATACCTCCTTAATCCACTGTGGTAGACTGAATAATGCTACTCCCTTCCAAAAATGTCCACACCCTAATCCTCAGAATCTGTTAATGTTACCTTATATGGCAAAAGAGATCTTGTCAGTGGGATTAAATTAAGAATGTTGATGTCGAGGAGATATTCCTGGATTATTCAGGTGGGTCCCAAATATAATCATGAGGGTCCTCCTAAGAGAGAGCAGATGATCAGAGTGTATCAGAGAAGATGTGACTGCAGTAGCAAACTCTTTGTGATATGCTTTGAAGATGAGAAAAAGGCACTGGCCAAGGAATACAGGGGACTTAGAGGAGCTAGAAAAAACAAAGAAATGGAATCCCTCCAGAGCCTCAAGAAGTATCCAGCCTGGTGACACCTTGACTTTGGCCAAATGAAATTGATTTCATACTTCTGCCCTCAATTGGTGTGGTTTTAAGCCACTAAGTTTATGGTAGTTTGTTACAGCAGCAATAATAAACTAATACACTCTCTGACTGAGACCTGAAATCTTTTGAATTTGTAAGACACATTTTCTATCAGAAAATTCTTATTGGGTAACAATGATACCTTTGAACATCTGACAATAGCAATGGATAATTTCCACAGAAAATTTTGAACATACATATATACATAATTTTTTGCATTTAATTTCAGAGTTTAATATATCCCCCATATAACTAATTTGTGGACTTCCTCGAGTTCTATGGGCTTCAAATGCTGTACCTGTAATTAATTGGCTTGGTTATAGCTATCAAGAAAATGATGACAATTGTGCTTTATCTATTTCTCTATCAATATATGTTGGTATTGTTTATCTGATTTTATGTCTCCTCCCTCTAGAAAGAAAACACTCTGAGAACATAGGCTTGGTCTTTTGTTTCATCAGTCAATAATTGTTTCCTAAAAAACCACACATATACTTAATAAGTCTTTGTTGAAAGAATGAATGTATAAATAGATTGATGAGCAAATATTGAGCTGGTTTGGACTTCTTTAGGAATCCTAGATATTTATTAAATAGGGAGTTGACAAAGATAAAGTTGACAGCAGTGTAGAGTAGAAAATGGATTAAATCCAAAATGACAATATGTAAGTATTCTAATAAAATAAAATTAAATTAAATTAAAAACTGTTAGGAGTCTAAGTGATGCAAATTTAGTGATTTATCAGAGCAATTTTTCATCTCAGCTCTCCAAAAAGCCCGCAGATATATTCAGACAAATTGAATACAAATTTGATTTGGGAAGCTTTTAAAATATTATGATTCCTAAACTTTCTTAAACAGGTACATCTACAACAAGGCCCCCAAATCTGGATTTTATAGAATTTCCCAAGTGATCTTATGGAGAAATCAGATTTGACAAATCTGATTTGATAAGCAATGCTTGAATGCACGTTTCTCTTTCCGTCCATACCTTTCTTATTAACCACTAAGGAAGAAATAGTTCCCAAATTTATCTGAGTAATAAGACACCTGCGTAAATGATTACAACTTAGACTCATAATCCCTTCTTGGGATATTTTGGTTCAAAGTCTCAGAATCAGTACCCAGAAATAAGGAAATATAGTAGACATCTTAGGAATTTACAATGGCCTAATAACTTGAGAAATTCTATTCTAAGTAATATATTTTGATGAAATAATTGGTATATATAACTGCACTCTTCATTTTGACCAGACAATAGGTAGTATGCATTGAAAGGCTTTTCTTTTTTACGCTTCACAACTAGAAATGCTAAACATTTTCAACTAAGCTATTCAAAGTAACAAAATCTTTCATTTTCTACTAAACAGCGAGCAAATGTGAACCTGTTTTATTGTGGCATACACACACAAACACACACACAGACACACACAGATACATATCCATGCACACATACATATATAGCATTTTTTTTAAATCAAAGCTTTATTTTGGCTTTTCAAGGACAATATTTAAAAGGGCTATTATTTTAAAAGTCATCAGCCTCTCAGGACTTAGTATGAAGAAGATTCAGTTTCTATTAAAAAACTGGGAATTGCTGTGTAAACTAGGTAGCACTGGAAATTTTAGTACATGTTAGCAATTGCCCGTTACCTTAATTTTTGTGAATTTAAAAAAATGAGAAAAAGATTATGTTGATTTGAAATACTACTCAATTCTGTGGTCTCTTTTCTTGTCATTAACTTAGTTCTAGATCTCCTCCACCTTTTAGCAAATTGCACCTAAGTTTGGCAATTTTTAATGTCAGTGCCCTCCAACTACAGGTTGAATATTCCCAATCCAAGATGCTTGGGACAAGAAGTGTTTCTTACAGATTTCATATTTTGGGGGGATCTGGGAATATTTGAATATACATAATGAAATGCCTTGGGGATGGGACCAAAGTTAAAACACAAAATTCATTTTTATTTCATGTATGCATAACCTGAACATTATCTTATGTAACATTTTAAATACTTTTATGCACCAGTCCCATGAGGTCAAGTGTGAATCTTTCACTTCTGGTGTCATGTTGGCACTCAAAAAGTTTCAGAGTATGGGGCATTTTGAATTTTATATTTTCAGCTTAAGGGTGCTCAACCTGTATATGTATGGCTCTATGGTATAAATGTTTATGTCCCTCCAAAATACGTATGTTGTAATCTTCACTCCCAAAATGATTGTATTAGGTCGTGGGGCTTTTGGGAGGTGATTATGTATAGGAGTGGAATCTGCACAAATAAAATCATTGCTCTTATAGGAGAGGGTCAAAAGATACCCCTCACCCCTTCCACTGTATGAGGTTAGGATAAGAATATAGCTGTCTAAGAGGAAGCAGATTCTTACCAGACACTGAATCTGCTGGCATCATGATCTTGGACATTCCAGCCTTCAGAATTGTAAGAAACAAATTACTGTTGTTTATCATCACATAGTTTGTGGTATTTTGGTACAGGAGCCTGAATGGTTTAAGAAATATGACAATAGTTAAAATAAAAGCCAGAGAAAGTTATGTCTATTCAACTATATTTTAGGAAGATAGATATCAGTATAGACTTGGCAGAAATAATTTTCATGTGGCAATTATTGGGCGAGGTTAGATTGCTGTATTTTATTTAACCAAAATTAAGTCTTCCAGCCAAGGCATTGTTACCAAAAGATTCTTTTTAGACTTTCATGTGTGCCTGTGCACACTCATATTTTCAACTTTATATGTATATTGCATATATATAGACATAATTATAATACATTATATATAATTATATACTTATTTTCCATTTTTGTATGTGGAAATTTGACAGACTACATCTTTAGAATATTTAAAAACCATAGTCCTTTTTGTAAATTAATTCTTCATATTCAGGTTTTTTTTTTGTTTTTTTTTTTTTTGAGATGGAATCTTGCTGTGTCGCCCAGGCTGGAGTGCAGTGGCGCAATCTCGGCTCACTGAAAGCTCCGCCTCCCAGGTTCACGCCATTCTCCTGCCTCAGCCTCCCGAGTAGCTGGGACGGCAGGCAGCTGCCACCACGCCCAGCTAATTTTTTGTATTTTTAGCAGAGACGGGTTTTCACCGTGTTAGCCAGGATGGTCTCCATCTCCTGACCTGGTGATCCGCCCGCCTCGGCCTCCCAAAGTGCTGAGATTACAGGCGTGAGCCACCGTGCCCGGCCCGTATTCAGGTTTATTTGTGTATATTTATATTTGACCTTTTGTTTTGTTTTGTTGAGTTTCGCTCTTGTTGCCCAGACTGCAGTGCAATGGGGTGATCTTGGCTCACTGCAACCTCCGCCTCCCAGGTTCAAGCAATTCTCCTGCCTCAGCCTCCTGAGTAGCTGGGATTACAGGTGCATGCCACCACGCCTGGCTAATCTTTGGTATTTTTAGTAGAGATGGAGTTTCACCATGTTGGCCAGACTGGTCTTGAACTCCTGATCTCAGGTGATCCACCTGCCTCGGCCTCCCAAAGCGCTGGGATTACAGGCGTGAGCCACTGGGCCCAGCCTATTCCTGACCTCATAATATTTTACTGTTATGTGTTTGTTTTTTCGTTAATGATGTCACAGTATTTTTCCATGTATTTAGTCCCATGAATATCTAAAAATTAATTTTGAACATAGAACTTCATTTTACAATCTTTCAGTTTCTAGTAGTTAATTTTTAAAAGCCTGGTTTATAAAAGAAGCTCAAAAATGTTATGGAATACATGAATTAATTCTTGATTGCTATTCTTGACTTCCATCATTTATGCAGTAAACTCAGGAACTCTGTAGTGTTCCAAAATTTATCTTCTCCATATCAAATTTGTATGTTTTCACAGAACTAAATTTCTGGCTTTTAAAACTCTCTTTTATTTTTTTCTTTCATTGTAATGGACCATTTTTGGAACTGACACTATTGAGTATGTGATATGCAGATAGTGAAGTCATTTGAGTACAGTGCATACTCTGGATATGCATTTTAGGCTAAAAAGAATGGTTAGTTGTTAAGGTAACTTCAGTAAATATATATTCATTAAGGGCAGTCAGAAAGAGAGAAAATCATCTATGTTGCCGCCTTGGCAGGCCTCAGAGAGCAGAGGTTGTAGCGTGTGGAAGAGTGTGCTTGTGCTTTCTGGAACAGTAATGCGTGTCCTGCTCCAGAAGCTCGACTCCCCTGCTGCCACCCAGAGTTTTTTCAGAAGCGTACACTTCCCCTCTTACTGCAGTTCTCCCCTCTTTGGTATTTAAGCTTCAAGCATCTTTGCTTCATGGGCTCTGCTCTGCGGGACTTGTTTCTTCTGCTTCCTCCTGGATTCTTCAGTCTTGAACTTCTCTGTTGCCTGCGTTCTTGCCTTTTACTCCACTCTGCCACCTGGATGAGAGGCCGAGGACCAGTCTGCGTCATAGGAACCTCCTTCTAATCCCTAGAGTAAGAAGCTGTCATCAGAGTGGTGGCATATTGATGCTAGAAACACAGGAAACTGCATGAGTCATCCTTCAGAATAGGATATAAGCATGGCCAGTGCATGCATTTTCTCAGATGAATACACATCTGTTAAACAAGCTGCATAGATTCTCCAGAGAGTTCAATATAATTTTTCTCGGTATTTTTCCTGTAAAAATACGCCATTAGACAAATGAATTGAAACATTTTTACCAAAGCTTCAATGCAGAAATCACGGCTGCACAAAAGTACATGAAATGGGGAGGTCACATCATATTAGTGATCAGCTGTCATAATCAGAAGAGGCCATGTAAGTATGTCCTCTCATAATTTAGTAAAATACAGGAAATCATCCTTTAATTGGTGGTGGGGAACCTTTTCATAAGATATATGGGAAATACTAAGAAGAGGGATTTAAAGCAACCTCTTTACTTGTGGCACTCTGAGATATACATACACATGGATTCTTTGGAGACACTGCTTTCCAGAGAGAGGCTAAATTGTCTGTGATTTAATTGCTCCTGGGATTGAAAAGGTGATCTTGTATTTTGCCTCCAGTGACAGGTGCTATCCCTTTATTATAATTTGAACCCCTGGGTGTTAAAACATTCATGGCTTTTCTATTAGGAAATCTGCATACTCCTCCATCCATGTTTATTCATAATTCTCTGATGAGTTGCAGACAAGCTCATTGAGAACTTAGGCTTTGACATTTTAGTCAGAAATTACTACCACACCCACAAACAGAAAAAAACTAGGCTCATTTGCATCTATATTTTAAAAATTTATGAAATAGTTTATGTTAGTATTTTGGGTCTTTTGAAATTAAGTATATTGTGAATTGTTATACTTTCTAATGGAATTTTTAAGCAATTAGTATGTAGTGAATATATATGTAAAGTCTGTATTAGACTGGTTCTAAAATGTGTGCACACCAGAGGGCATCATAGCTTTTATTCAAAGCTTCTTTTAGACATTTTCTTTTAAATTGAGCTTTATACTTTTTAACCTTTTTTTCTTTAGAATTATTACTCTTTTTCACTGTAATATTCATAAAACATGTTTAAACAATATTTATCCAAGTATATTGAATGAACAGAAATATCATAATTAAATGAGAAAATTAAAGCAAACAAGCCTTTATAATGACTGTCTAACAGCTTAGATTTCTTCCTATTTTTGACCTTCTTTTTCTTTTATCTCAGGACAATTACTACTGTTTGTATTTTTCTGATAATGTGTAAACTGTTCCAATAATTCTGTTCCTAGACTACTTTTGATACCCGCTCCGTTTTAGAAACTCCTTTGTCTTCTTGTTTTGCATGGTAAATTCTTATTGAAACAGAGCTCCATTTGATTGATCCATTCAGACAGCATTCATTGAATATTGGAGGAACAGGACTCAGATACAGCCTTCCAGAAGCTCACTTTCCTGCAGAGAAAAAAATGGGAACACATATGATGACCCTTCAACGTGATGAGTACTGTGTCCCAAAGTGCTGAGAGAACTCCTCAGATGGGTCTCTAATTGAGCCTAGCAGCTATGGAGAGTGAAGTGATACATGGACAGATGGTTAAAGCTGAGCCAAGATTTAAAGTACAATTAAAAAGTTAATCAGACACTATGACAAGCCTTCTTATTTTTTTTCCAATGATTTTAAAATAAAATTTGGAGTCGCTCACATAAAAGCACAGATAATTAGAGATAAAGAAAATGTTCTTTTCTTTGTTTGGATTTCACAATTGTCACGCAAAAATAAATAAGCGCAAACGAAAGGCTAGAGAAACTTCTAAAACCAGGTGATTTTATTAGTTGCTTTTTTTCTTTTATGTTTTTAAAACATGATATGATTATAACTTTTAAACAATAAACCTCCTGGGTGATTATAAATTTAGCATGAAATAAAATATTTATAGCAACAACAAAAAGGTATAAAGGGAAGAGTCAGAGGAAGCAGAGTTGTGAGAGTCACATATCCTTGGGAGGACGTTCAAGTAGACACGTAAGTTGTAAGTAAGCCTTTGGCAGGGAAAAGGTACATCTATTTTTAAAATACATCTCAACAATAGTTTATCTAAGGAGACTTTTCCAGTTGTATTCAACTAAACGTGATCTTTCCTCTTAGGAAATGTTGTTTCTGTGTTATAATTCTAGTCCTACATTTTTATTTTTTTCTATTAAATGATAAGCTTCACGAAAGTACTGATTTATCTGTTGATCTCCGACAGTGTTTAGTTTAATTCTTAGAATAGAAGAAGCAATGCTCAAAAAATATGTGCATTGCTTAAGAGGTATCTATCAACATGAATATAAGAATTGAACATAATTCTATTTAAAATGTAAATTTCAAAATGCCAGGTTTCATACTTTTAATTACAATTTTGCTGCTAATTAGCCTTGTTACCTTAATTGAGTGATTTAAAATATTTCTAGTTCTTACTTCACCTGTTAAATAATGGAGTTGAACTAGTTAATCATATGCTTGATCATTTAATTTGTGCCAGGAACTGGAATAAAGCATTTGCACATATTATCTAATTTACCCTTGATAACAACTCTTATGAGATGGTGTGGTAATAATCTGCATTTATTCCAAAAGCCCTAAAGTTACTTGGATCGTAATGCCAAGTAGCTTAGCAGATATCACACCAATAGTATATGATGGAGTCGGTCACACTGCAGACATCATTTCAGTTCTTATTTGAAAGCTCATTCTCGAGTGTCCTTCCACCTCTGAAATGTTATAGTTCCATATAAAAAAAATCCCGTAGTTACTCTTCAATGAAAAGTAATTTGATTATTCTGCAATATGCCTCTCTTCTTCTCGGGAGATAATGTTTTTTTTTTCTATTATTAACTTTGGGAAAAGAGACATCGATTACTTCTTTAAACCTCAACTATTTGAAGTTTAACATTTAGCTAGCCTCAATTTTTTTAAAAAAAGAAAAACACTTTAATCATCTAGACTATGAAAATTGAATAGAATAGGTATTCATAAATAACCTCAACACTCGACTAGAAAGTGCTTTATCTTAAAGACTCTTTTCTATTACCTTCAAGAAGAGAACAAGAGTATCTCCTTGCTAATTCATTTTGCAAAGTGTAAGTCATTGCCCTTCACAAAGGGAGAAAAAGATGTATAAAAAAGCCATGAACACTATTCAAATTCATTGCCTCTTCCAGGTGCGGGTAATTGAGTTGCCTCAAGATCAATATGAAACTGCCTAGGATACAGAAAGTCAATAGCTACTTCCAAAGTCAGGTCTGTCTAGTTTAGATATCTACAAAAGCAGAATCTTCAGCTGCTGCTTCAGAACAAATCTGAATCTGCATAACAAAACTTGAAATTGAATTCTATAAAGCAAGAGCTCCCTAAGTATCAGACTTTGATACAAAAATGTTTAGGGAGTCCCCTGTTGAGCAAATAACATTACTTGATATTTTCTGGACCCTGAAGTGGCGCTGAATGAACCATATATTTGATTGCATTTGATGACATTTGATTTTAAAAACAAGGTCTCTGTCCAAGGTTAGTATTTCTAGGTTCCTAGAATTAGTTTAAAGTATTATCTTTGAAAGAAAAAGTAATTCAATGACACTATGTTTTCATGAAAACAATTTACTTTCTTATTATTATAACACTGGAATATTGCATAATAACCTCTCCTTTGTTTACTATGTGTTGGAAATGAATGTGATAATGTCCAAAATACTTTAATTTTATGAAACTCTCACACTGGGTAATTTTGGGGAGTAGGAAACACTGCCGCCTCCCTCAACAAAAGAGTTTCCATTTGACGATAAATGGAAAAGTCCATATTGGAATTGGTACTTGAAACTGGAATACTAATTTTAATCCCCAATTCTCACATTCTCCTGGGGACCACTTGCTAATTACCACTGCAACCACCACCTTGTCCTGTGTGAGGTTGCTGAGAAGAATACTACTTTCTGTTTGTAGTTCTGTAACCATTCCACAGAATCAATCTTAATTCTACATAGTCCAGTTGAACCTTTTGTGGAAGGCAAAGAAATCAAAATAAGCAATGAACACATAGAATTTTGTGTGATAACAATATAAAATAGAGCATTAACATTCTCTGGCAAGCATCTGAGGCCCATGGGCTGTATCTTTCTCTGACTCCTCACTTATATTTATGTGATGGTAGCAACATATCACTTTTCACTTTTAAAAAGGGGCTTGGAAAGACACAGATGTTTTTAAGTGCCATTTTTGTACCTTCCATTCCCTGTATCTTTAAAAAATGGTTAACAGTGGAATTTCCAACTTGTCCAAGGAGGCTCAGAATCACCTAGAGTTTGCACTACTGGAAAGACTTACCTGTGAGGGTAATGTATGTGTGTAGTGCAGGATGGAGCAGAAGGAAGATTCCTTGATAAAAAGACTCAAAATCTGTGCAACGATCTAGTAGTTCCTAAGATTACATAGTTCATTTTATTAGGCAGTTAAAGTCAATTAACGCTTAACAATTAGGTCTGTAAACAATGCTTCCTAAAAGCTGAGAAATATTTTTATTGCATATATAAACTTGGACAAAAGAAAATAAAAGAAACAACTATTGTATTCATTAATTTTTTCCTAAATCACTTGAAACATCTACCACTGGATTCCAGAGACAGAGTCCATATTTTCTTACCCTTCGGTTTATTCACTGGTGATATACTGGCTTGTTATTTTAAGTGGCCCTCTTTAGTTCTTAAATATATTGTAAGTTTCTACAAAATAGGAGAAAGCCCTGTGTTTATAAACCACTCACTACGTCTGCCAGTATAAGTTTTGAAGGAAGAGCAAGTCAGCTTTGGCAATAGGCTTCACGTTGAATCTTGGCTCCATAAGACAACAGCTCATGATATTGGCAACTGAGGAATGCCTGAGACTTAGTTTCCTCTTTTATGAAATTAGAAAACTAACTACCTCACAGAGTTCTTGTGAGACTTGAAAATGATACATACATCAAATGCCTAGCTCAGTGTCTGGAACAAAATAGGTGATTAATAACCAATTTTGAATTAATATGATTAAAGGGATATATCAAAACATTTTATGACCTCTGCTGCTGTATGTCATTTCCATTCCTCAGTGGATTATAGCAAGTTCCATTTTTGTGTGTGAATTTAATTTTAGAAATAACAATAAATCAGATAATTTTTTAATATCTGCAGGTTTTTTAATAGTTAGAAAGTGCTAGAGCACTTTACCAAAAAGGCTTATAGGACTCTTTCTATTGTCTTGCACCTAGAGATAAGGAAACCACATCAGCAATTCTGAGAGAGTGTCCTGCTTTATAGTGCTAAAATTAAAGCACCAAAATCATTTTTTCTTACTTTTTCCCTTCCTCCTTTCCTCTCTTCCTCTCTTTCTCTCTTCCTCTGCCCTACTCCTTCCCTCCTTCCTTTCCTCCTACTCTCCTTTTTCTCTACTTTTCTTTCTTTTTCTTCTTTGGAAAGAATGAAGCTAAATATAAATGATGGGCTATCTGTTTCTTCGATTTTAATTAAAACAAAAATTCTGACAGATCTTTCACTTTATTATACTGAAATTTCTAATTGAAATTATTTGTTTCTCAGCTTTCTGTTAAAATAAAAAGGAATACTTAAAATTACCTGTGATGCTGGGTTTTAGGGACTACATTTATTGTAGGAGTGATGAAGATACTCTATTGAGCTTTTTAAAATATCTGAGTATTTTAGAAGTATAATAAGGAGCAGATCATTCTATCTTGATAAAATTATATGTATGGTATGTCTGTTATGAAATATGTCATTATCGCAGTTCTATTTAAGGGAAATTGTTCTAACTCATTGACTCCTTTTTTGATAGAATTACAAGTCCGCTTATACTGTAATGTGGACAAATACATGGAAGGGGCCAAAGAGAAACAGTAGATTGAACAGAAGTCATTTGTGAGCTAGCACCATTAGGCCTTGAATAGCAAAGATACCTTTTGAAGATGGGTCTCTAGTTTTGCCTTGTATTGCCTTGTATGCCATGACTCCTTCAGATGAAACAGATCCTAGCTGCATGTACTAGAATTTCTTCTGCTTGGTAATTTGTCCTTTATTGGGTTCCCTGCATGTGCACTACCTCCTTTAACCTGAGGTGAGTCATGAAAATGTATGGCTTGCACACAGATATTTCTAAAACAAATCTCATATTTAACTTTAGTGAGACACATTGTCAGTAAAGACTCATTTTGATGTAACAGAAGTAATTAAAAACAGATTATTAAGTATTCAATACATTATAATAACATATGGGCTGTAGATGTGTTTATTTTTTTAAAAAAGCATTGGTGATAAAATTATAATGCTCTTAAACGTTTCTAATTCAACTATTTACTTAAAATTTTCTAATTAAAGTATTTAAATATTTAAAATTATTAGTTATAACATGTATCTGCAAAAGCAGAGAGACCTACGTTCTCTACCATTAGTCTTCATTCTTACTTTCTTTTCTGCAACAACACAGAATACTCTGGAGTCTAAATTATCTTAATTAGATGCAATTAAAGTAGATTTCTTTATCTATTAATTAACAAACCTGGGATTTAGCAATACTGCAATAAGCATTATGTTATCTCTCTGAGAAATTGTTACATTTTTGATATAATTTATCTAAATTTCATTTAACCTGATTTCCCCTGAATTTTAACCTATTTTCTGATTTTAATCCATATTTCAGCAAAAATGCATACAGGTTCAATCCATAGACTTTTCTTTATCCCCACATGTAAGCTGGCATTGCACCAAATCATCTGCTTTAGAAACATGTTGAAAAAATACTAAATTCAGGTATGGTCCATATATTCTGCACTTCAAATGCTGTTTGAATATAAATGTTATCCCAATGACTTGGATTACAGGTTAGGTAAGCAATCTGTTAGGAACCCATAATAGCTCTTTTAAGGCAGGGACTTATAGTTGATACATCTTTCTTCATCTTTCATTTCATATCAAAGTTTCCTTTATTGGCCTGGATATGGGCCACTCAAGGCCACAATATTGAGCAGTGCTGGTGAAGAATGGCATCAGCATCAGCTTTATATATTAGAAATAAGATATCTCCTAACTTTCTCTTTTACCTCTCTTTCTGTGCTTCCTTTTAGACCTTTTTTGGACTTGATTTATTTCATTTATGCTGAAAAGAGTTGACCATTTTTAAAGCATATGATAAAATTCTTGCCTTGAAGCCATTTATTGATGTTTTAGTGAAATAATGCTTACATGCACACAGCCCTTGGGGAATATGAGAGTTTTTCCACTGATCTCATTGCCACCTCTCTCTCATTGACTGAATCTTCTCTACATTCTTCCCAGAAAATTTATTGTGTTAAATATACCTTTCTTTCTGTCATTTCTCTTTTCAAAAACCTTCAGTCACTCTCAAATGGCTGAGTTACTCCCCAGAGTGTTACAAAGAATTGTAAATTCATGTAGACACCATGTACTGAAGGCAGACTAAATAAATATCTTGCACAAGTAGGCGCTATTATATTCCAAATATGTGGGTTGATGTTAATCAAATATTCATTTTATAAGTTGCTTAATTTTTAACTTGTGGATATTATACATAGTTCTCAATAGTCAGTTTTACCTATATTCCTAGCACACTCACAGGCACACACACAAATTCACAAATACAACCACTCAACAAATGCACACACAGACACGTGATTGAGAATGATACACATATGATTGCTATTTTCTTTTTTTTCTTTTTTTTTTTGACAGGGTCTTGCTCTGTTGCCCAGGCTGGAGTGCAGTGGCACGATCTTGTCTCACTGCAACCTCCACCTCCCAGGTTCAAGCAATTCTCCTGCCTCAGCCTCCCAAGTAGCTGGAATTACAGGCGTGTGCCACCATGCCCAGCTAATTTTTGTATTTTTAGTAGAGATGAGGTTTCACCATGTTGGCCAGGCTGGTCTAGAACTCCTGACCTCAGGTGATCCACCCGCCTCGGCCTCCCAAAGTGCTGGGATTACAGATGTGAGCCACCATGCCCGGCCCGATTGCTATTTTTAATTTGCAGTTGAGAAAGTGAAGTAAAGAGAAGTTAAATAACTTCGTTGCACAGTGTTAACACATCTAAGTAGTAAATTGGGAATATGTAAACTTAGGAATTTCAGTTCAGCTATGAATACTTTTAATCACACATCCAGTCCAACTACTATTTTATGGGGGGGGCATAAAATTATTTTTTATTTTTAAAACCCTCATACTTGAAAAGTTTGAAATCCAATACTGTAAAGAATTAAGCACCTAATTATTATTTCACAAATTATTGAAAATTTTGCTACAGTAATTTCCTAATTGGGTTTCAAATAGAGTAGTTTCAGGGAATATTAACAAAGATGCAATGTGAGAAGTTGTTTGTGGTCGTGTAATCTTAGAAAAAAGACTGAAACCGTGTATTAGTTCATTCTCATGCTGCTATATAGGACTGCCCATGAGTGGATATTTAAAGGAAAGAGGTTTAATTGACTCACAGTTCTGCATGGCTGGGGAGGCCTCAGGAAATTCACAATCATGGCAGAAGTGAAAGCGAACACATCTTTCTTCACAAGATGGCAGGAAGGAGAAGTGCTGAGCAAAAGGGGAAAGAAACACTTATAAAACCACCAGACCTCAAGAGAACTCACTATTATGAGAACGGCATGGGGGTAACCACCCCAATGATTCAATTATGTCCCACTGGATCCCTGCCATGACACGTGGGGATTATGGGAACTACAATTCAAGATGAGATTTGGGTGTGAACACAGACAAACCATATCATTATGCCCCAGGCCCCTCTCATATCTCATGTCCTCACATGTCAAAACACAATTAAGCCTTTCCAACACTCCCTCAAAGTCTTAATTCATTTAATCATTAACTCAAATACTCAAGTCCAAAGTCTCATCTCTGACAAGGCAAGTCTCTTCCACCTATGCTCATGAAAAATCAAAAGCAAGTTAGTTACTTCCTAGATGCAATGGGAGTACAGGCATTGGGTGAATATACCTGTTCAAAAGGGGAGATACTGGCCAAAACACGAGGGCTACAGGTCCCATGCAACTCTGAAATTCAAGAGGGCAGTCATTAAACCTTAAAGTTCCAGAATGATTTCCTTTGACTCCATGTCTCACATCCAGGGCACGCTGATGCAAGAGGTGAGCTTACGTGGCCTTGGGTAGCTCCACCCCTGTGACATTTCAGGTTACAGCTCCCCTCTTAGCTGCTTTTGCAGGCTGGCATTGAGTGTCTTTGGGTTTTCCAGGTGCACAATACAAGCTGTTGGTGGATCTACCATTATGGGGCCTAGAGAAAGGTTGCCCTCTTCTCATGGATCCACCAGGCAGTGCCCCAGTGGGGACTCTGTGAGGGGGCCCTGACCCCATTTCCCTTCCCCCCGCCCTAGCAGAAGTTCTCCATGAGAGCTCTGCCTCTGCAATAGACTTCTGCCTCGACATCCAGGTGTTTCCATACATTCTCTGAAATCTAGGCAGAGATTCCCAAACCTTAATTCTTGTCTTCTGCACACATGCAGGACCAACACCATGTGGAAGCTGCCAAGGCTGGAGGCTTGCACCTCTGAAGTAACATTCTGAGCCCCTTTACTTGGCTGGAGTGGCAGGAAAGCAATCCAGAGGCTGCACACAGCAGGGGGGCCCTGGACCTGCTGAAGAAACCATTTTTTCCTCCTAGGCCTCTGGGCCTGTGATGAGAGGGGCTGCTGTGAAGTTCTCTCACATGCCCTGGGGACATTTTCCCCATTGTCTTACTGATTAATATTCAGCTCATCATTACTTATGCAAATTTCTGCATCAGGCTTAAAGTTCTCCCCAGAAAATGGGGTTTTCTTTTCTATTGCATTGTCAGGCTGCAAATTTTCCAATCCTTTATGTTCTGCTTCCTCTTGAATGCTTTGATGCTTAGAAATTTCTTCTGCAAGATACCGTAAATCATCTCTCTCAAGTACAAAGTTTCACAATCTCTAGGGCAGGGGCAACATGCTGCCGGTCTCTTTGCTAAAGCACAAAAACAACCACCTTTGCTCCAGTTCCCAAGAAGTTCCTCATTTCTGCCTGAGACCACCTCAGCTTGGACTTCATTGTCCATATCACTATTAGCATTTTGCTCAAAGCCATTCAACAAGTCTCTAGGAAGTTCCAAACTTGCACATATCATTCTGTCTTCTTTTGAGCCCCGCGAACTGTTCCAGCCTCTGCCTGTTGCCCAGTTCCAAAGTTACCTCTGCATTTTCTGTTATCTTTATCACAGTGCCCCACTTCCAGTACCAATTTACTATATTAGTTTATTCTCACATTGCTATAAAGGACTGCCTGAGACTGGGTAATCTATAAAGCAAAGATGTCTAATTGACTCACAGTTCCACATGGCTGGGGAAGCCTCAGGAAATTTACACTTACCGCAGAAAGTGAGGCAAATGCATCCTTCTTCTTATGATGGCAGGAAGGAGAAGTGCTGAGCAAAAGGGGGAAAAGCCCTTACACAATCATCAGATCTCATGAGAATTCATGATCACAAGAAAAACATGAAGGTAACAACCCCCATGATTCAATTACGTCCCACCAGGTCCCTCCCATGACATGTGGGGATTATGGGAACTACAATTCAAGATGAGATTTGGGTAGGGACACAGCCAAACCATATCATACTGTTATTCACATAGTGGAGATTCACAATGTATATCAGTATATTAAATTATGTGGGGAGCTCAGCATGAATACAACTGTTCTTCATTTTCCTATTTCTGTATTTTCCACTAATTGGAAAATAACTCAAATTTTGGAGTATACTTATTGAATAGTGTTTTTTAGCAGAACAGTTGGGGAAATCAGGATCCAAAGACAGTTTCCAGTCTTTCATTCAATGACTGTCCCAAAGAGCCTCCAAAAGTTTAGCCTTGAGCAGACCTCATTCCTTCTCATTTCTGTGCATTTCTTCACTCTGTTAGCCACTAAATGTATTTTCCACCCCAAATCTAAAATTTACCATCACTTAATGTACTGTTAATTTCCCACATTGTTCAGGAATATTTGACAAAGAAGTCTCCAATTCATGGGAGCCTCCTTTACAAAACTTAATTGGAAAGGAATCACACATTGCCTTGTGACATTCTTACACTCCATGTTCCTGTCTTATTACACAAACTGTAGTATTAGGTCCTGTTCACAACTATGGCTACTTATCCTTTACAAATAATTTACACACTTAATCCAGTTTTTTGTTTGTTTGTTTGTTTTTGCAAATAGTAGGTACTCAAATACGTATTGCTATGATAGAAAATATATTGCTATGTATGCAATGTAACTAAATGTTATTTTGTTAAGACAATATAAATTTTGAGTGCCCAGAGAGAGGGAAGAGTAACAATTTAGTTTTTCTCTTTTAGCTGTATCTATCAGTTTATTCTAGAATCATTTTGATGATAAACAACTCTAAACCTCAGAGACTTCCAACAAAAACAAAAAATGTCTGTATCTATGCTGGGCAGGCTGGAACTCTGCTATGGTTTATTCATAATTTGGAAGCTGAGGCTAAAAGAATAGCCCCTATCTGGGACTTTGCATTTATTATGGCTCAGAAAAAAGAGAACTTGTTGAAACTAATCAATGAACTTGAAAGTTTCTGCTCAGAGGTGCATATAACAGATAACATTTCATAACCAAGCCAGATGTGGATGAGATAAATATAATTCTCTAGGAAGAAAGAAGAAGGCATATTATCTTAAAATAGTGCAATCTACTACAAAATCTAATTTTTGATGCTAAGTAAGCCTTTTGTAAAGTTTGTTTTTGAAACAAAAAGATTGAGTGAAAATATTTTTCTGCATAATAAATGGTGCACATAAAAGCCTGATCGAGTTAAATTTTGAATATATTTTATTCAAAATAGTTATTTACGGAGGTAAAAATATTTTGACTAAAAGCTTTTCTTTTAAGGAAAGTTAGTAACTAAGTAACAAGGCAAAATTTGTCCCTGCTCTATGTCCATTACCAGGATAAGTGTGGTTAAATTAGAAACCATGGAAGTTAATATCTATCTTCACATGAAGTATATATTCTGCTATATGTTCTTGGTAGAGTTAATGGTGAGTAGATTTTATATAACAAATATATCTATTTGGAAATTTAAATAAAACATTGAAATAACATTATATAAAATATATTGATTAGTTTTGGAGTCATTGGTGGTAAAAACACACAATCACTTTTTTTTCTAAATTATGTGCAAAAACACACATTTTTGCCCACACATGAACGTTCAAAATTCACTTGAGAGCTAGATATATAAAGCCTGGGAAGTTCATTACTGCTATTCCCTAGTGATTTGTCTAGAGGAAAAAATTAACAGCATTTCAGAGAAGCATCAAAGTAATGACACTGAAGGTTTTTTTAAATGCTTTTATTCTCACATTCAAAGCTGCAAAAAATAACAAAAACAGTTACGTAGGTCAATGGTGGATAAATTGGCTTGGTGTGACGTTGATCATTCTACAGCCCAATTAAAAAAATGGTAGATGGGGACGGGAGTACAGAATATAACGAGGAGAATGCTGGCATTTTCTGTATCTCAAGAAAAAAATGCAATTGAATTTCCTCATTTATATCAAGTGTCACTAATTAGCCCACATTTCTAGAAAAATTGCTATGTAATCTTTGAATGTTAAAAACAGATACGTGGATAATTAAAACTTAACACCAGCCACTAGTATGCTGTACAACTTTCACAAGGTTTTGCTAGGCATCTGATCTATAAAAGGAGAACAACAATATATTCTGAAGTATTACTACTATGGAGGTTTAGTTTATACTACTTCTAATGTATTAATATTATTTTTATTTCATAAATACGTCAGAAAGTAATTGTATACATACACAGTTGGCTCTCCGTGTCCATGGGTTCTGCACCTGCAGATGCATCCAACCATGGATTAAAAATACTTGAAAAAAAAACAGAGCAATACAAATGAAAAATACCATATAACAACTATTCACATAGCATTTACATTACATTAGGTATTACAAGTAATCAAGAGATGATTTAAAGTACGTGGGAGGATGCGTGTAGGTTATAAGAAATACTGCATCATTTTATGTAAGGGATTTGAACAGCCTTGAATTTTGGCATCGGAAGAGGTTCCTGGAAGCAATTCTCCAGGGATAAAGAGGAAAAATTGTATTAAGTTTAAAACTACTCAATATATTAGATGCATAAATTAGTGAGTACCTTTAAAAAAAAACACTTTACAGTTATAAATTTGAATGGAAATACTTATTTTGATAATTGCTTTTTAAAGTATTTTGAGTACCTATCTATTGCCAATGCTTTTCTGAGGATAAGTTTAAATCATTCATAAATTAGACATCAAAATACCTATTGCATTCTAAAATAAAGTACTAAATATGTAGATTATACCTATATACCTAATATTTTAAAGTATTAAATCTAGAGATTATACCTACATATCCAGATATTATTTATATATGCCTACATATATATACACATATATAGAGATATATATGTAGGTATATATAAATAATGTTATATATTATATATATACCTACATATATATTATATTATATATACCTACATATATATACATATATACATATATACCTACATATATATTATATATACCTACATATATACATATATATGTAGTTATATATATGTAATATATAACATTCAGATATATACATATATACATGTATATGTAGGTATATATATAGTATATAACATTATTCAGAACATTTACAAGCTTAAATGCTTTAGACTTAAATATGTCAAGAGGTTTATGACTTATCAAAAAATTTACTGATGAAATTGAAAAGAATATATGCTTAATTCTTTAAAATCAAAGTTTCTCTCTAAGCTCTGAATTCAATGCTGCTAACATTTTTTCAAATTTCATGTTTTGGTGCCTAAAGTCTGTTGAGTTTAGTGATGGAAACCAAACTCTATTGGACATGACAACCAACTTGATAAGGGTGTAAATCAATCTAGAAAACATGGAAAAAGCTTGACATTTTTGTTCTTTAATTAAGTCATCTGTAGGGTTTTTTTTTTTTTTTTGCTTCAAAGCAATTGCTACCCACTCACATTTTTTAATGCATTTGAGTAAACCTACATTGTTCTCTTAAGCCAACATATTTAAAAGCCATTGAAGCCATTTCTTTTGTTGTTTCAATGTCTTAGGATATAGAATGTTCATATTGAAACCTTTTAATGTTTAAATAAAAGTAGATGCAATAAACGGCCACTCACATTTTCTGATTAATAATAGGGCTTTGAATGAGGGAGAAAATGCCACCCACATACTATTGTCTTTTTCCTGCAGCCTAATCACTCACTTGTATTGTCTTTTCTGATTGATTTGTCATTTGGTGGCAGCCGAACTGTGTGTTTGAAGATCTTTTGTATAGATTTAATCAGGAAATGGAAATCACGTCTTTGATTGACACTAATAATTTATAATCATTTGCCCTAGCTGAAACAGCTGTATCACTTTAAGTTTCTGTAAAAGAAAAGCCCTTTAAATGTCTTTACCTTTTCATTTCAAACCAATTATGTAGGTAGTCATGGGGGAAAAGCTGTCAATTTGGAATAATGTATATTGCATTACAATTTTTAAATAATAAAGTAAAAACATTTCCCTCTTTGTGCATAAGCATACCTTAAATAATTACATTAAAATTTTAAAGTAAAATTCAGAAAGATGCTATTGAGATGCATTTGCTAAAAAATGCTTGCCTTGGTAGTGTGAGTATAATGCAATTTTCAACTATTATAAAAATAAAAGAACATCATATATCATAGAGTTACTTTAATTAAGGCTGAAGTTTTATGTGATTTGAGTTCTCTTAATATGATGCAGAGAAAATGTAGACATGCCCTCCCTAAACTATCAATAGCTAACTTATAGTTACCATAGATTCTGACACCATGTACACTGAGACTTTCTGCTGGGTGCTTTGTTATTTTCAAAATTTTTGTTGTTGTAGTTTATTTATAACTGGGTCATCTTTATTTGATCACTCCCATGTACTTATAGACTTGCATTTATAAGTTGTACAGTAAATATATTTTTGATTGTACATTTGAGTTACATTATGTTAATACATGTGTATCTCTGCTTGCAGAGAAGTATGTATTTCTATACAAGTTAAATATTTGAGGCCATTTGCCTTTATCTATTAGATAGTTCAGTAGACACACCTAGTAACTGCTTGGGGAAAAGGGTAGCCTATGTAGTAATGTTTTTCTTGGTCATATTTACACTACATCTACTTTTAAAATAAATTAATCTCCTTCTCTTCTAATCGTTTCCCAGTCCTATTAGAAATAATTCCTCCCTCTAGATGACAGCAAGATTTTCACATATATAATGCATTCTATCTAGGTCTGTGGATATTTTAACAAGCACTTAATGTTCTTCTCCTTAGGGATCACTGTATACTGCAGATAGGAAATATGTATTTGTTTAACAAATAATAGCATCAATAAATCAGTAACTACATGAATGTGGTGATGCTTCAAGATTCCTCCAAAGTTGATAAGTGTCAAAATGACTGAAACCACTAGAAAGTCGACTGTAATAAAAAAATATTATGAGAGTTGATCATCTGAAATGTTATCTAGCATATTATTTAGGTTTTGAAAGAATATGTATCTGTATTCTTGTTATTTTTGTATTTAATTTTTGGCTGCTTATATATCAGTATATATGGTACATGTTCTCTGTAATATGAAAACTCACATCTACCTTATTTCTTCAGTTTTTAAAAATTATTATATCCGTAGTTTTGGGGGAACAGGTGGTGTTTGGTTACATGGATAAATTCTTTAGTGGTGATTTCTGAGATTTTGGTGCACCTGAGACCCAAGCAGTGCACACTGTACCCAAAGTGTAGTCTTTTATTCCTCACCTCCCCTCACACTTTCCCCCAAGTCCCCAGAGCCCATTATATCATTTTTATGCCTTTGCATCATAATATTTAGCTCCCACTTATAAGTGAGAGCCTATGTTTGGTTTTCCATTCCTGAGTTACTTCAGTTAGAATAATGGTCTCCAACTCCATCCAGGTTGCTTTGAATGCCATTATTTCATTCCTTTACATGGTTGAGTAGTATTCCATGGTGTGTATGGACATACATAACATACATATGTGTGTGTATATATATATATATGTGTGTGTGTGTATATATGTGTATGTATATATGTGTGTATATATGTATATCTTTCATTTGGTTTATCCACTCATTGGTTGATGGGCATTTAGACTGGTTGCATGTTTTTGCAATTGTGAATTGTGCTGCTATAAATATGTGTGTGCAAGTGTCTTTTTCATATAATGACTTATTTTCCTATGGGTAGATATTCAGTAGTGGGATAGTTGGATAAATAGTAGATCTACTTTTAGTTCTTTAAGGAATCTCCATATTGCTTTCCAAAGTTGTTGTTCTAGTTTACATTCCCACCAGTAGTATAAAACTGTTCCCTTTTCACCTCATCCATGCAAACTTCTATTATTTTTTTATTTTTAAATTATGGCTATTCTTGCAGAAGTAAGTTGGTATTGCATTGTGGTTTTGATTTGCATTTCCCTGATAATTAGTGATGTGGAACATCTTTTCATATGTTTATTGACCATTTGTATATTAAAGAGATGGATTATTATCTTCTAAGCAATCACGGAACATTAAGAAGTTTGGGAATCGGGGATGAATGCTCAGGCAGATTGCTGAATTACTTGAACATTTCTGATAGAAAAAAATTCATGTTCTTTACAACAATCCACATATTCTTATTTCATAAATATTTTTAATGAAACAAGCTTAGTTAAAACATTACAGACTATGAGACAATTGTAATTTCAGCATTTTTTCCTGTGTCATTTCTAGGTTTTCATATCTACATTTTTCATCTAGATATGCTTTTCTCTTTGAAAAACAAGTATTTTTGAAAACAGTATTTTCACTTGAGAGAGGAGGAGAGTCAGGCTTCATGTTTGATTCACAGAGTCACCTCAATTCAACAAATGTTTGGACTTATGAAAATTACACTTCGGTCTCCAGGCATATTTTCCACAGGGATTTCGGATGCTATCTTTAAGCTCTTTGTGAAAAATCAATAGCTTTTGCAGTTTCATGAGATTCAGAACAATCTTTATTTCAAACATAGAGTGTATCTGAGGATGTTCAGTTGGCACAATGAATATATAAAGTAAAAACAGGTATAAGAAAACAACTCATGAAAACATGGGAGATGGAGGTAAATTGTATACGGGATTCCATCAATTATCATAAAATACTCAATTATAAGAAATAATACAGATTGCTTGTGAGTCTTTTACTCACTTTTCTCCAATGGCGCCATCTTGTAAAACTATAGTACAATATTATAGCAGGGATACTGACATTGATACAGTCAAAATATAGAATAATTCCATCACCACAGGGATACTTTCTGTCACTGTTTCATAGTCACATCAACTTTTGTCTGCTTATCTCTAACCCTTGGCAAGCATGAATCAGTTCTCCATTTCTACAATGTTGTCATTTTAATAATGCTACATAAATGGAACCTTACAATAAGTAAACTTTGGGATTGATTTATTCAATTCAGCGTAATTCCATGGAAATTCATCCAAGATGATTCACATGTCCTAATTTGTTCTTTCATATTACTAAGGAGTATTTCATGGTATGAATATACCACAGTTTTTAAACAGTTCACTCATTGAAGGACATCTGGGTTGGTTCTAGTTGTTGGCTATTATGAAAAAAAATGTGTCCCTTTTCTTGTCTTTTTTGGGGTTACTAGAATATTTGAGGGAATTCTGTCTTGATATAGTTTCTTTAGTAGTTGTTCTGTACATTGCAATTCACATATGCTATGTATCACAGTCAACCGGTATCAACATTTTATCACTCTGAGTGGGGTGTGGAAGCCTTACTTCATTTAGATCCACTTACCTTACCCACTATTAAATATCATTATCTTGAGATTTGATTGTGTTATATAATTTTTGTTTCAGTCATCACATATTATTTTTTCAAACTTAGGAGGAGGATGGTTAGTTGTACTTACACATATTTCTACTTGTTTAATTGTTATTTCTTCTCTGATGCTTTGAGATTCCTATTTTCTCCTTTCTTTGTGTTGCAAGAACATCATTTAGTCATTCTTTAAGAGTAGGTCTGATAGTACAAATTCTTGTAGGTTTTTTTTTGTCTGAGAATGTTATTATTTCCCCCGTGTTTTTGAAGGATAGTTTCAAAAGTTACAGAATATCCACAATTGATAGTTCTTTTCTAACATCACTGGAATGAATATGCCACTTCCTCCTGGTTTTAGATGAGAAATCCAGTCATGAGACTTGATGATGTTCCCCTATAAGTCACATGTCATTTATCTATGGCTGCTTTTAAGACTTTTTTTTTTGTCTTTATTTCAGAAGCTGAGTTATAATATTTCTTGGTATGTTAGCTTGTTCTTGCATTGCTATAAAGAATTACCTGAGATTGGGTAATTTATTCAGAAAAGAGGTTTAACTGACTCACAGTTCTGCAGGATGTACAGGAAGCACGGCTTGGGAGGCCTTCAAGAAACGTATAATCATCGCAGAAGGCAAAGGGGAAACGGGCACATTTAACACGGCTGGAGAAGGAGGAAGAGAGGGAGGGGGCAAGTGCTCTATACATTTAAACAACCAGATCTCAAGAGAACTCACTCACTATCAAGAGAACAGCACTCGGGGAAATCCGCCCTCCTGATCTTATCACCTTCCACCAGGCCCCAGCCCCAACACTGGGGATTACAATTCAAGATGAGATTTTGGCAGGGATGCGACTTGGTGTGCATTTCGTTGGTTTTACTTTGTTTCAGGTTTGCGTGTTGCATGCGTGGGTTTATGTCTTTCACGAGATTGGGGAAAGTTTAAGTTTTCAGTCATTATTTTCTTTGGCTGATCTCTTTTTGTTTGTTTGTTTTGTTTTGTTTTGTTTTGAGCCGAAGTCTGGCTCTGTCGCCCAGGCTGGAGTGCAGTGGCGCGATCTCGGCTCACTGCAAGCTCCGCCTCCCGGGTTCACGCCATTCTCCTGCCTCAGCCTCCAGAGTAGCTGGGACTACAGGCGCCCGCCACCACGCCCGGCTAATTTTTTGTATTTTTAGTAGAGATGGGGTTTCACCGTGTTAGACAGGATGGTCTCGATCTCCTGACCTCGTGATGCGCCCGCCTCGGCCTCCCAAAGTACTGAGATTACAGGTGTGAGCCACCGCGCCCGGCCGGCTGATCTCATGCTCCAGTCTTTTGTTTCTTTCAGAGCCTTCATAGTACAAATGTTGGAAAATTTGCTATTGTCTCACTGTTTCTGAGGCTCCGCTCTTTTTGTTTTTTCTTTCTTTTCTTTTCTTTTCTTTTCTTTTCTTTTTTTTTTTCCTGAGGCTCTGTTTCTTTTTTCAGTCTTCTTTTTTTCCTCTGTTGTTCAGATTGGGTAAATTACATTGTTTTGCCCAAAAGTTCATTGATTCTATTCTCTGTCATCTTTACTCTGCTGTTAACCAAAATAACACATTCTTATAATTTATCTCGTTTTTCAAATTGAAATAATTTCAATTTAGTTCACTTTAAAATTTATATTTCTTTGCTAAGATTTTCTATTTTTTCACATCAAGATAATTTTTAATTGTTTGTTTACATATTTTTTGATAGCTGCTTTCATCTCAGTGATGGCTTCATTTGATTGTCTTTTCTTTCTCAAGTTGACATTTTTTTTCAGTCCCTAGTATGATGAGTGATTCTCAAGTGATTCTCAACTTTACTTTGGACATTTTGGCTATTGTGTTCAGAGACTCTGGATCCTATTCATTCTTTTCTTAATAATTTTAGCAGGCTGTTTATCACACAGATCCTGACCCATTTTTGTGGGCTGTGGGCTGTGGTCCCTTTGTAAATCTAATTTCCAGAACTTTGCTTTGCTATTTGGTTTTTTGCGTTTTGTCTTAGGCATCTGGGGCTTCCACTGCTTCTTGCAGAGGAGGTGGCAGGAGTTTCTCCAGTGGAGAAACTAGCAGGCTAGCAAGGGGGATTATGCTACAAGTGCCTGGAACTAGGAAGCAACCCCTCCTTCCCCACCGGGTCCAACACTCCCAAATCCCACCAGAAGGAAAGGGTAAATAATTCCGGAAGAAATCTTATTCTTCAAATTGTCCTTGCAGGTTCCTCCTGCAAGGATGATTCCTGAAGAAATCTTCATACTTTTGAGATGGGAAATCTTTTCTCTAACTTAGAGGCAGTGGTGGGTTTATTTTTCATTTGAATCCCTAAAATCTAACAATTTATACATCATATATTAATTTTATTTCCATTCCTTTTTCTCTTATTCTGTGTTAGACAGCTTGACATAGTTTAATATACCATATAATTTAGCACTTAAACAACCATATGAGGAAAATTCTCTTGAGAACCTCAGTTCTAAAAGGGAACAGAGAGGGCTGTCACATGGAATACAAAGGAAAATGAAGGGAGAGTTTCCATGAGTTTACTTTCACAACATAATAAACTGATATGAATTTATTAGCTTTCCCTTTGTAGATGAGGGGCAAATGGTTTTCTAGTTCCCTGCACAAAAAGAGGAGATGGAAGATAATTTGGATTTAGAGCAGGTGGGCATGAGATGGCAAAGGCTTCAACTAAATAGGGAAGTCCAAGGGAAATAAAGGAGTAGGAGCAGACAGGACTAAGGAAAAATGAAGATGCAGCTGCAACATTTTTAAAAAAATATTCAGCCTTTACACTTTCATCTGGTCACTTTAGGTTCTTCATCCCAGTGCACCACGCAGTAATGAATCACTTTCAGATGATAATCACAGTTGTTTGGGATTCTCTTGTGCCTGTCTTGGGAAATGCATTATAATTATTAGTACTGAAATAATCATAACTCAAATAAAATGTTTTCTCAAAAGGTAGTTTTTTTTTTTTTGTATTTTGCTGTCAGTTATATAACTCATTCTCACTCTAGCCATTTCAACTGTATCGTCTGGGATACATTCAAAAAGCAACACTCCCTTGTAAGCCCATAAATTTAGATTGATCACATCACATTCTTCTGTCAAGGCAAGCCCTTGTCTCCCTCATTCCAGCTTCTTACACCTGTATTCTGTTGCATTTGTTTCAGTTTCCCACTCCATTTGTATGCTGTTTATTCCTTATTGGGTAACATAACATAAAATGTCACTTTAATTCCTTTTTGGGTAATATAAATATAAAATGTTAAAGATATGTGCACTGCTTCCACATACTCTGGGCTCTAAGACATGTTTCCTGGCCTGCTAAAATGTAAGTCAGTGATCTCTTTTGGTAGACAATTTAGAATTTTAGTTTATATTGTTGTATTTGCCATAGATTCTGTGGTAGGCATTATTCACAGGAGCTCCCCAAGGCTTCCTGTTCCTTGTCCTACATAATCCCTGGGACTGTTCATATGATGGGGTTTACTCCCATGATTATGGTATATGGCATAGGTGACATTTAGAAAGAAAGATTATCTGCATGTGCCTAATTTGATCACATAAATCCTTTAAAGAGTTTGCCTTATACTGGCTGTGGAAGAAGTCAGAGAGCTTGAGACAGATTTCTTGTGAGAGAGATTCTCCCCAGCTGAGATGAAGAGGGGCCATTACTATTGAACTCATTTGAAAGTGGTGGAACCGAGAGAAGTGCTAGACCCACAGCCAGCAGCACAATGGGGACTTTTGGGTTAATGCTGAAATTAGTTAGTTAGTTAGTTAGTTAGACTTTGGGGTACTATTGGGAAGGCATGATTGGTTTTGAAATATGAGGACATGAGATTTGGAGGGGCCAGAAGCGGAATGATAATGGTTTGGCTGTGTCTCCAACCAAATCTCAACTTGAATTGTATCTCCCAGAATTCCCACATGTTGTGGGAGGGACCCAGGAGGAGGTAACTGAATCATGGGGGCTGGAAAGTTCCACAACTGCAAGGAAATAAATTCTGTCAACAGTCCGAAGAAGCATTCCCTAGTCCAGCTTCCGTATGAGAACAAGGCTGGTGAACACTTGAACCAGATACCCAACTAAAATGTGCCACACTGTAGCCCATGGAAACTATAGAATAATGATTTTCTATTTTTTTTTAAACTTCAAACTTTGTGACAATTCACCATTCAGTAAGAGAAGTCTAAGCAAGTTCAATTACAGAGTAGGCTCTATCAGCTGAAGCTCAAACCCGTTGAAGTATCAGTACTAGTCAAAATTGACTTTAAACATGCTGATGTTCTCTGGATCTTTCCACAGACTGAAGGCAAATGTGTCATTGCTGATAAAATGCCAGAAAATTCTGAACACTGGGCATGGCTTTAGATTACAGCAGGGGAGTATACTGCCATTGAACCTTTAGCACATTGTGTGCACTGGCATCTGCTCATCTCATTGCTGCAAATAATTGCCACCTACACAGGCTGCAGTAAAGGATCAATTGTTTTGTTCCAGTCTCCAGCAATTCCCTCCTACAGATGTGACTGGTTTGTTAACATTGACATAAAAAGGCCATGATGTTGCCTATTCCCAAACAAGATCCCTTTTAACGCTCTATTCCTTCCGGCCCAATTTCAGAATCATAATACGTGAATTGGATAAGTACAGAGAGCCACACTGCTTTAAATCCAGCTTGTTGGACTGATTTGCATGGGTCTTTCTGCAGCTGAACAGATGGTTTTACACTTGTGAGCTTAATTCTTCTCAGTTAATCAACCATTGCCATAGGTAAATTGGCTCAAAAACACTATCTAAAATTCAGAGGCCCATACAGTTAATATCAAATTCTTTTTACATATTATTGAAATATAATTATTTTAAGTACCTCAGTTTTCTTAAAATATTTTTTTAGAATCATGCAAGAGATGACTGACTTTGTTCTCTTAGTGTTATTTAACATCCTTTGGTGGTAAGTACAGTTCTGCCTATTCTTAAATAACTGCCTAATTGTCTATTTAAAATACACTACTGAAAGGTGTCTTCAAGCAACTCTCAGGTGAAATAGCCTAGCTTCTGTTGCTGTAGAACTGCTTTCCTGGAGCCTTCATTCAGTTTGTAGCTTTGTAGTTGATACTTCAAATATTATAAGATCACTGGTGTTATATTAGGCCAGTTTCACACTGCTGATAAAGATATACCCAAGACTGGGAAGAAAAGGAGGTTTAATAGGACTTATAGTTCCACATGGCTGGGGAGGCCTCAAATATCATGGCAGGAGGTGAAAGATACTTCTTACCTGGCGGCACCAAGAGAAAATGAAGAAGAAGCAAAAGCAGAAACTCCTGATAAACCCATCAGATCTCATGAGACTTATTCACTACCCTGGGAATAGCATGGAAAAGCCCAGTCCCCATGATTCAATTACCTCCCCCTGGGTCCCTACCACAACATATGGGAATTCTGGGCGATAAAATTCAAGTTGAGATTTGATTGGAGACACAGCCAAACCATATCATTCTGCTCCTGGCCCCTCCAAATCTCATGTCCTGATATTTCAAAACCAATCATGCCTTCCCAAGGGTACCCCAAAGTCTTAACTTATTTCAACAATAACTCAAAAGTCCACAATCTAAGGTCTCATCTGAGACAAGGCAAGTCTCTTCCACCTATAAGCCTGTAAAATCAAAACAAGCTAGTTACTTCCTGGATACAATGTGGGTACAGGTATTAGGTAAATACAGCTGTTCCAAATGGGAGAAATTGGCTAAAACAAAGGGGTTACAGGGCCCTGCAAGTCCAAAATCCAGCAGGGCAGCCAAATCTTAAAGCTCCAAAATGATCTCCTTTGACTCCGTGTCTCACATCCAGGTCACGCTGATGCAAAAGGTAGGTTCCCATGGTCTTGGGTAGCTCCATCCCTGTGGCTTTGCAGGGTACAGTCTCCCTCCTGGCTGCTTTCACAGGCTGACATTGAGTGTGTGTGGCTTTTCCAGGCCCATGGTTCAAGCTGTTGGTGGTTTTACCATTCTGGGGTCTGGAGGATGGTGGACCTCTTCTCACAGCTTCAGGGGGCAACACCCCAGTAAGGATTCTGTGTGGGGCCTCCAACCCCACATTTCCCTGCCACGCTGCCCAAGCAGATGTTCTCCATGAGGGTCCCGCCCCTGCAGCAAACTTTCACCCAGGCACCCAAGCATTTCCATACATCTTCTGAAATCTAGGTGGAGATTCTTGACTTCTGTGCACCCACAGGCTCAACACCACATGGAAGCTGCCAAGGCATGGGGCTTATACCCTCTGAAGTCATAGCCTGAGCTGTATGTTGGCCCTTTTCAGCCACAGCTGGAGTGGCTGGGACACAGGGCACCAAGTCCCTAGGCTGCACATAGCATGGGGACCCTGGGCCCAGCCCATGAAACCACTTTTTCCTCCTGGGCCTCCAGGCCTGTGATGAGGGGGGCTGCTGGGAAGGTCTCTGACATGGCCTGGAGATGTTTTCCTCATGGTCTTGGGGATTAACATTAGGCTCCTTGATACTTATGCAAATTTCTGCTGCCGGCTTGAATTTCTCCCCAGAAATGGGTTTTTCTTTTTTATCCCATAGTCAGGCTGCAAATTTTCTGAGCTTTTATGCTCTGTTTCCCTTTTAAAACTGAATGTCTTTAACAGTACCCAAGCCACCTCCTGAATGCTTTGCTGCTTGGAAATTTCTTCCACCAGATACCCTAAATCATCTCTCTTAAGTTCGTAGTTCCACAAATCTCTAGGGCAGAGGCAAAATGCCACCATATTCTTTGGTAAAACATAACAAGAGTCACCTTTGCTCCAGGTCCCAACAAGATCCTCATTTCCATCTGAGACCACCTCAGCCTGGATTTTATTGTCCATATATCACTATCAGCATTTTGAGCAAAGCCATTCAACAAGTCTCTAGGAAGTTCAAAACTTTCCCGCATTTGCCTGCTTCCTTCTGAGTCCTTCAAACTGTTCCAATCTCTGCCTGTTACCCAGTTAAAACGTTGCTTCCACATTTGCAGGTATCTTTTCAGCAACACCCCACTCTACTGGTACCAATTTACTGTATTAGTCCATTTCCACACTGCTGATAAAGACATACCTGAGACTGGGAAGAAAAAGAAGTTTAATTGGACTTACAGTTCCACATAGCTGATGAGGCCTCAGAATCATGGCTGGAGGTGAAGGGCACTTCTTACACGGCAGCAGCAAGAGAAAATGAGGAAGAAGCAAAAGCGGAAACCCCTGGTAAACCCATCAGATCTCATGATAAATTATCACAAGACTAACACGGTAAAGACCAGCCCCCATGATTCAATTACCTCCCCCTGGGACCCTGCCACAATATGTGGGAATTCTGGGAGACACAATTCAAGTTGAGATTTGGGTGGGGACACATACAAACCATATCACTGGGCTCCACGAGATGCATAAGGGATGCTTGCTCTAAAAGTTTTATAGATTCACCCAATGACCACTGCAACACTGTTCACTTCAGTTTAAAAAAAACACTTTATTATCTTTTAAATTGGTACTTAGGTTCTAATAATTGGTGTAGGTCTTAGAAATTATTTCTTCAAACTCTAAATATTCTTACTACCTCTGTGTTTCATTCTCATCTCTGAATGTTTTCAGTGATCAACAATTTATGGTTTACCTTGCTAGACTATCCCTAAGTGGCCTATCAGCTCCAGTCCAAGGTAGACATAGCAAGGTAATTTGTGAAATGATCCACATATTCTTATATTTTAATCAGAACAATCTGACAAACTAAAAATATGTTTTGATACTTTTACCAGATCAAAACGCTTTTCTGCCTCTGTCCAACTTACTACCTTATTATCAGCATAATGGATAACCATACAAATGATGAACATCTCTATCAGAATTCTTTACTAGTTTAGAAAATTCTTTACTACTTGAGAAAATAATAAGAAATAATAAGCGTACTTGAGGCAGGCCTGTAACAATGTGCGGCATTCCTTCTGGTGGAAAAGCAGATTGCTCTATCTTTGCAAAAGAGATGAAAAAGAAGCTGTCAGTAAGTTCTATCTAAAAAGACATTTTCCTTGAGTTTGCTAAACTTTGCTTTCTACGGTGGGTGAAAGGCAGCCTCTAAGATGGCCACCCATGATCCCTGTCTTCTGCTATCGATTCTCCTGTAGAAACTTCTTCTGTGGCAGATGGAATGAACTTACTGACTGGCTTCTAAAAATTACAGCAAAGTGATGACACTTCACTTCTGAAGTCATGTCTGTAAAGATATTAGATTCTGTATTGTTGTTTCTCCTTTCTTCTACCTCTAGTGTTGGGAGAAGCAAGGTGCTACATTGCTGTGAATGGCCCTATGCAGAGGCCCATGTGAGACACTGATGCCTTAGCCCTAAAGCCCAGGAGGAACAAAGGAAGCTATGAGTGAGCATAGAAGTGAATCCTTCAGACCTAGTCAAGACTTGAGATGCTTGATTACTGGTCAACAGCTTGCTACAATCTATAGAAAATTTTAGGTCAGAAACACCCAACTAAGCTATGCCTTGATTTTTGACACAGAAATTGAGAGATAAGAAATGTTTGTCATTTAAGCTGCTACATTTTAGAGTATCTTCTTACACAGGAATTCAGAACTAATACAGTCACAATCACATATCTGGAGAAATGACTATTGTTCTCTTTATGTAATTTCATCTCGTTGCTGTTCTTGCTTACTAGCTAACCAAGGCTATAATACAAGATTTATGCAGTCACCATTTTTGCAATAAAAGTCTTACTTTTTATTTCTCCAAGAGTATGTAATGGTGAGAATAAATCTTCCTCCAGGTTTATAGTAGTTAGGGTAAACTTAGCTTTTATCTTAACTACTATGCTTTTACCTCACTTAGCTTTTACCTTAATAACAAGAACAACAACAAAAAGTGATTATAAAATGTAATGGCTTAAATAAGATAGAAGGTTCTTGTTATTGTTGCTGTTTTTCCTTTTACTTCATAGTCTGGAAGTTAGTGGCTCTATTTGGAGGATTATCTCAATTTCAGAAAGACTGTAAGGGTCCCAAGCTCTTTTTATCTCCTCACCAAATAGTCTCCTATTCATGTGGACACTGTCTTCCGTATCCATATCTATATGCACAAAAGGAAAACGAAAGGAAAGAAGAGCATCCATATGTTACAATCAAGACGCAAAAGTGGCATGTACCAACCCAGCTTTTATCACATGATATGAAAGGAGCTGGAAATTGTAGTCCACGCTTAGGTGTATGAGCAACATTCAACTATTATCATAAAAAGTAACACAAAACAGACATTGAACAACAATTAGAAGTCTGTCAGAGAATTTGCAATGTTTCATATTATCCACAGTCTGTATCTTTGATGCAACCTCACTCCACAAAACCAATTAAATATCAGGAAGGAAGATATTATAACCTGTTCATTTAGATAAGAGTGGCATTTAAAAAAACATATTCATTATGTACACATCAATAGTATTCCATCATTGAAATTACAACAAATTCCTTGGAATACATGTTAGCAATTTGTGTATGTAGTGCTTCCTTTTACCCCACATCCACAGATAGGCTTTTGGAACCCTGCAACCTTTATCACAGTGACTGGGAATGATTGCATATGCACTATCAGTATTTAGAATCCCGAGGAAGCACTCCTCTTTATTCCCAACCCAACTTACCTTGACCCAGTATACAGCCTTTTTTATTTTCCCGGATACGTAGTTAGGAAATCCTGGTCTTATCAATTACAGAATTATGGTTATTTATTGCTGTATAACAAACAACCACAAGCTAAGGCTTAGAATAAAAAATTTAATACTAACTTTTATATTTCTGTAGATTTTACTCAGCCCAACAGTTCTTGTGTATGATCTGCAATGTGTTCGCTCTCAGATGATGGCTAAAGCTGCAGTCTTTTGAAGGCTCGAATTGGCCAGATGAGCCAAGACAGCTTTCATAGCAACATACATGTCTGGAACTTCAGATGGTGTGGTAGAATAGTGCCCCTTTCACACCAGAAATAAATGGCATACCTAATAATCCCTGCACCATGTGAATATTTCACAAAAGGGATTTTCCACATGTGATTATCTAAAGGATCTTAAAATGAAGAATATTCTGGACTATCTGGGTGGACTGATATAATCACAAGGGTCCTTAAAAGAGAGGGGCAAGACAGAGGGGGGAAATAAAAGGTGTGACTAAGCAGCAGAGGTTGAAGAGATGCCATTATTGGGAAGTGGCCTAAGGAGCTAAGAAATGCAGGGAGCCTCTAGATTCTAGAAAAGACAGAGAAAGAGACCTACCTCTCAAAGTCTCCAGAAGGAATCGGCCTTACTGACACCTTGACTTTAGCCTACAGTTACACATTTTTACTTCTGATCTTCACAATTTTAAGATAATAAATTGTGTTGTTTTAAGCCACTGAATTTGCAGTAATTTGTTATAGCAGCAATGAGAAACTAATTCTAATGTAAGGAGTGGAACAATTGGGTTCTCTCTCTTGCTCTATGAGGCCATTCCATATGACAGTCTTGGGCTCTTTTGCAGGGAGTTACTCTCAGGTCAATAGGACTTTAAACTTGGCAGTTGGCTACTCCCCAGTGTTCCTAGACATTAGGAAACAGAAGTCCCTGTTACTCTTCATTCTGTTTTCATTTTTCTTTTTTTTTTTTTTTGAGATAAGGTCTTGCTGTGTTGCTCAAGTTATCCTCCCACCTCAGCCTCCCAAAGCACTGGGATTAGAGACATGATCCACTGTGCCCCTCCCCACTTACTCTCAAATGCTAGAACTGAAACTGGCACAGCAAGGCTCGGACACATTCTGTTAGTTATAGAGTAGTCACAGGTCTGAGGCAAATTCAGCTTTTGGTGGAGGACATCCATCTTTAACCTACCCTCTGGACATACATTATTTGCATTTCTTGTAAATGCAAAATACATTCACCCCCTCCTAAAATTCCCAAAATTTCATCCTGTAATGAAGTCAATTTCAGTTTTTAGTTCCCAGATCTTGTCATTTAAACCAGCTCCAGGTGACAATAAGGCTATTTTGGAACAATTTTTCGTATTTGGATTCTTAAGTATTATTTCTGTTTACCTAAAGTTGCAAACTATAGGAGCAAGTCATCTGTCCTCCTCACACCTGACATACAAAGGGAAGAGACGTGGGAACCTGCAGTAGATGACTCTTATTCTAAACAAAGGAGAAAAAGGAAGGCATGGAGAAGTCACAGGTCCAGGGGAATTCTAAAATATAGTCAGTCTCATGTCACTTGTTCCTTGATTAGCGCCCAGTCCTGCTCTGGGAGGGTGGTTCTATGTGGATCTTCATTCCGCCTGCTAAGTTCTGTTTTTGGAGTCATATTTTTTGCATATTAAATGGTCCTACTTCCTTGCTTCTGTCCCTCCCTCTCCTCTCCCTTTCTCTCTTTTCTTTCTTTATCTTTCTTTCTGTCATGCTAAATAGATTTCATAGCCTGCTTCCGCCCATGAAAAATTGATGCTACTATTGTAATTGTTTTAGGGCACCACAAACTGCACCCATAGAAGATGGTGACCTTAATTTATACATAAATTAGCCAAAATAGGTAAAATTACTTTAAAAATTTTTGGACTTTAAATTATAATCCACTTCATTAGACAAGTCACCCAAGTCAGAGCATCTTAGGGCAATACCCTTGAGAATATTACAGGACTGCTTGTCTAGCAGAGAGGATTTATGAACCACTGCATTACATGTTTCTGAGGGTTTAACTGAGAGTCTCAGAGTGTCATTCTTGAAAACATGACCAGTGTCCCGAATTCATTCGTTGCCCTCAAGACATTTTTTATTTTAAGAGTATTTTCCTGGGAGAGATTGGAGATTAGAAAACATTTCATTTCTGAACACAACAAATGCTGCCTCAGAAATAATTTCTCTATTTTCTACTTTGAGACAGAACATTTCCTTTTTCAGTTTTTCTCTCTACCTGTACATTATCAAGCAGAGCTACAAGAAACCAGATGGACTTCATAAAGTTTTACCTTGAAATCTACTTAGCCAAGTCTACAAATTCAGCAGAAATGTATTCTACTTCCACTTTACCACACATGAGGGTATAACCAATTTTTGTCACTAAAAAACACATTTTTGTAAATAGCCTCATAACAAATTGCTACCTGTCATTTATGAACAGTCTTTTTAAGGCCTTTTAAACAGGCCTGCTGCCCATTCCCAAGCCAATCTCACATATCTTCATTAAGGAAAAAAATTCACAGTAGCAATTCACTCTCACAAAGTAATTTCTTTTCTCATTATCTATATCTTTGTACCAAATCACCCCCAAACCTTATATAACACACAATCTCTCAAAGCCAAAATTTGTCATCATCTCTCATATTTCTGATGGTTAATTGTCTCAGGTGGATATTTGATGCTTTTGGTTTCTTGTGTGGTTCCAGATAGAAGGCAAATAGGACCAGAGTCATGTGTAAGCTTGACTGAGCGAATAGGCAAGGTGTGTTCCTTACGTATATGCCTAGAAACACAGATTGGATGCCTGGAACATCTGAGGTTTAAGGGTTTTTTCTTCTCTCTCTCTCCCCCTACTTCTCTGTCCCTCCACGTGATCCCTTCATGTGGCTTCTCCATGTGGCTAGCTTAGGTTTCCTCACAGCATGCTAGTCTAGTGTATTCAAATCCTTTACACTGAAGCTGGCTTTTCCCAAAGCATGTATGCTAAGAAAGAAGGATCAGAGATTGCCAGTAGCATTAACAAACTGGCTTAGTTTGTTAACTATGTTTTTTTATTGGTGAAACAGTCACAGAGCCAATCCCCATTCAAGTGAAAGAAGAATAAACCTCACATCTTGATGGGAAAAGTGGTAGACAGTGTACCAGTTTTAACCTGGGACATGATATTTTGATTCTTTTTTCAAGGAAATTTCTCTTGGACAAGGATTAAATTCTGCTCTTGTATATGCCTTTATTCTCTACCTATTTATGAATGATTCAAGGCTAGGACAAGTGTATTAGTTCATTCTCACACTGCTATGAAGAAATACCCAAGACTGGGTAATTTATAATGGAAAAAGGTTTAATTGACTCACAGTTCTGCATTGCTGGAGAGGCCTCAGAAAACTTACAATCATGGTGGAAGGCAAAGGAGAAGGAGGCACCTTCTTCACAGGGTGGCAGGACAGAGTGAGTGGAAGCAGGGGAAATGCCAGAGGCTTGTAAAACCATCAGATCTCATGAGACTCACTCATTATCAAGAGAAGAGCATGGGGGAAACAGCCCCCCATGATCCAATTACCTCCACCTGGTCCTGCCCTTGACATGTGGGGGATTATTGAAATTCAAGCTGAGATTTGAATGGGGAAACAGAGCCAAACCATATCAATAGGTAATGCAAGTAGGAATGTGGACCATATGTGATATCATTGTAGTGGGTGAATTCTCTTATTTCAATAATCTATGGTAGTCATGTTGGGAAAACCTGTTAATACATGCCACTGGGTAATTTCCCTGTTTCAATATTTTTCAATTCCACATTATTTCCATTTTATGCAAAAGCTTGCTTTCTTTATATTACTCACTTTCTGTTTATTTTATCAAAGTCTCTCAGTCCCAGGTGAGTACAATTAAAGGGTCATATGAAAACCTCTCTATTTGAGGAATGCAAAATAATTGAGTCTGAATTTGAGAAAGATATATGCCATTATCCACATTATGCTGAACACTTAAAACTTAGTATACATATAGATACAAAAAGTAAAAATATGTAGAAAACTGGACACTTATAGATATCAAAAATTAAAAATACATAGAAAACTGGACACAATAAAAATTTTTGTATTTCTTGCTCAGCCCAAGAACTTCCTATTCTAAGAAGAGCAAAACTATAGTCACCAATTTTGTTGGCATGTTGTTAGATATAAACACATATATAGTCACAGATGCACATCAGCAATTAAATATATATATATACACACATATATATGTGTATATGCACATATACACATGTTTATGTGTGCGTATATATAAAACTATATGTGTGTTTTCCATGTGTCCTTATTTTACAAATAATAGCATACAGTGTGTACACTGTAGCACACCTTGCTTTTCTTTGGTGATAGCAACATAACTTATAAGTTTTTCCGTATTAGTCCTAAAAGAGCTTCATAACTGATTCATTATCAATCATGCTAAAGGAAATCAGTTTTCTTTAAGCTAACTTTTTCTTAGTTTATTTACAGATATAGAGTATGTCATTGCTTATCATAGTGTACAATAGATTATTTAATCAATTTTCTGTTGCTGAACATTCATTGATGATATTTTCTATGAAAAATAATGTTGCAATAAATAAGGCCAAAAATACATCATTATTTTAAAAATATGAATATAGTTTTATGATATAAAATTATTCAATCATAGGATATGTATACTTTTAATTTGGAGCCTATAGCAAAATTACCCTTTGTACAGAAAATACCAGTATATTCACTTTATTGCAGTATCTCTTATGTTAATTCTTGAATACATAGATAATGTCAAATATTTGATCTTTGTCAACCTGAGAGGTGAAAAATGGTAACTTGTTTTATTTTAAATTCAAATTTGTCTTATAAAAGATGTTCAAAGTCTTTTATACAAATAAAATGTAAATACAAATATTTACATTTTATTTTCCATTCTTTTCCATTATTTTTTAATTTTTATGATATTTTGCTCATTTTTGACCATGTTGCTAAGTTCTTATTGACTTACAGAAGTATATAGGTATATATATGTGTGTATATATGTATATATATATATGTATATATGTGTGTATATATGTATATATATATGTGTATATATGTGTGTATATATGTGTATATATATGTATATATGTGTGTGTGTGTATATGTATATATGTGTGTATATACATATATACACACATATATACATATACACACACACACACATATATATATATAAAGTTCTGAATTTTGTCAATAAATTGGATTTTTTTAACTCATTGTATCTATCAGGTTCTCCAGAAAAAGAGAAGCCATAAGAAAATTAACAGAGAAATAGAGACAGAGACAGAGAGATATAATTTATTTAAAAAATGGGCTCACATGATTATGGAGGCTTGGAAACTTTGATATCCTAAGATCTGCAGCTGGCAAGCTGAAGACCCAGGAGAACTGATGTGTAGCTCCTGTCCAAATCTGAAGGCCTGAGAATCAGGAAAGCTGATGCCATAAATTCCAATCTGTGTATGACTCTGAAGACAGAATATCAATGTCCCAGCTGGAGACAGTCAGGCAGAGACAGAGAATTATTTCTTACTCAGCCTTTTGATATTATTAAGGCCGTCAAGGAATTGGATGAGACCCACCCACTCTAGGGAGGGTAATCTGCCTTATTCAGTTTGTCAAATCGAATTCCATCTAGAAACACCCTCAAAAATACACCTAGCATAATGTTTAACCAAAGATCTGGGCACCCCATGGCCCAATCAAGTTGACACATAACAGTAATCATCACACTCATTTTTCATCTATCCTTTGCATATTTAGCATAGATTTTTCTTTAATATTGTGAGATTTATCAGTATTTTTTATAGTCCTAAATTTTCTGTTTTGTTTTAACAGGCTGCCTTTTGGGTGAGGTAGAATGAAAATTATTTTTATATTTTTTTTCACACTTTATGGTAAAATTTGGATTTATTTTGTTGTAAATTATGAAATATATATCTAATAGTTTTCCAGATGGCCACTTAGTTCCACAAATATTGATTGTTGCCTAATCCAATTGATATACCTCAATTTTTAGATACCTGTTTTACCATATTCTAAATTTCCATACATGTGTATATCTATTTCTGGAGTTTCCTTATTCTTGGGGTTTTTTGTTTGTTTTTGTTTTTGTTTTTCTTATCCAAGTAGCAGTACCACATCAGGTAACACTACATATTTGTTAGACCAGTTCTGCCTTTAAGAGGTAAAGTTGGGCTAGAAGGAAACAATTCTGTTTCAGCAGAGTTGTAACCTTCACTTAAATAGATGTTATCATAAATGACAAAGTACTCCCTGGAGAAGCACTTTAGATCCTGTGTTATTTTCCTTGGCCTGCCATAACAAACTACCATGAACTGGGTAGCTTAAAACAACACAAATGTATTCGGTCACAGTTCTAGGGGCTGGAAGTCTAAAATTAAGGTGTAGGCAGGGCTGAGCTCCCACAGAAGTCTGTAGGAGAATTCTTCTTTGCTTATTTCTAGCATATGGTGACTTGCTGTCAATCATTGCCATTCCTTGGCTTGCAGTTGCGTAACTCTGCCTATGATTCTGTTGTCACATAGCATTCTCGCTGTGTGTCTCTGCCTTCACATGGCCACATGGCCTTTTTTATGAGGACACCTGTCATATTGGATTAAGTGCATACCCTACTCCAGTATGAGTTCATCGTAGCTAATTACATCTACAATGATCCTGAAGCACTGGGGATTAGCACTTCAATATATCCTTTGAAGGAATGGGGGAATGCAAATTGTTCCCAGAGTTTGATAACATTTTTAGCTTTCTGCTTGGTGTCTTGACTCCACTGAATTCCTTCAGTAACTTCTGGATATGTAACTCTTGTATGATTACCCAAACTGTTTCAGTGACTAGTCTATCTAAAAATCTGTGGCTACTATTGACATTTATGAATAGCATGATTGTATAACAGATGATTTGTCCTACAGAAAATATTTTATATACACACGTTTATACAGCTGTATCAACTTATTTTACACACTTGCCTAATTACCAAATTTTAGTACTTCATATGAGTGAACATTTGAAGGTATTAGTAATTTTTATTTTCTTTTTTATTCAAAGTCTACTCTGTGGTCACCATTATGTCCTAAAAACTGCCATGGGGTTGTCATTACAGAGTAAAAGCCAAACTTCTTACATTCCCCTGCAGAAATTGTCGCCGAATGCACCTGCCTCTTACACCTCTGATCACATCTTCAACTATGCTCTACTTGCTGACTCTGTTCCACATTTTCTACATTGGTTTTGTATGTAATAGTCAGAAGATAATATTGTCAAAAAATAGAAAAACACAGTGAGCCATCACTTTCTAAGTAGGACTTCATGTATAATTTACTTCATCTATAGATAAATATAAATTCCTGTTAATGATTACCAATGAATCAAATTCTTACAATTTGTAACTGATTAGTTTTAAATAACACGACAAAGTTGTGTTCCAAAGCATTACAACTTATTGCTGGTAATGTTTTTGGTCAATACAGCAAGTCTCAATTTTATAGAAATGCAGTGTTTTAATTATACTTAGATTATGTGATATAGATTTATCTTTTGTCCATTTTGAACACAATTCTTGCTTAGACAATTATATCAAACCACGTTTAAAGATGACTACCTCTAAAGAACAGAGATAATCTTCTGGGGTCTCTGTAGTGAATTGTGTGCCCTTTAAATTCCTATGTTGAAGTTCTAACCCCAAATTCCTCAGAATGTGACTATATTTGGATATCAGGCCCTTAAAGAGGTTATTATTTTAAGACGAGGCCATTATGGTTGGCCCTAATCAAATATGACTTGTGTCCTTATAATAAGAGGAGATTGGGACAAAGAAACACACAGAGGGAAGACCATGTGAAGACAAGGGAGAAGATAGCTAGGTACAAGGCAAGGAGAGAGGACTAAGCCTCAGAAGAAACCAACCCTCCTCACACGTTTGTCCCAGATTTCTAGCCTCCATAATTGTAAGATAATACATTTCTGTTGCTTAAGCCATCCCAAATGTGTGCTATATTATTATTACAGCCGTAACAAACTAATACAGTCTTCAAAAAGGAAACCAAGCAACAAAAATGTGGCATTGACGTCTAAGTCTATTCAGGCAAGAAAGCCTCTGAATCCAGCAGATACATGTTCTGACAGTGAGATTATTTGGTATCGTAAGAATATCTGAACAGGCGTAACATCATATATCTGCATGAATCATCTTTCAGCACTCAGTGATTCTAGATTTAAAAATCGACGTTGTGAAGAAAATTTCTGGCTGCAAATTCTGTTGATCTTAGGGAGTAGATGCACTTAATATCAAGCCCAGGCAATGAGATTATCAGAAAGCTATATATCTTCCCTGAATATCCACAATTGATACTATTTTATATTTCTTGCCAGTGTGTAACGACAAATAAAGCTTCTATATCTGAATATGATAAATTTCAGAATCTTCCACATAGTTAGCAGAAGGGGGCAACTCTGGTGCATGGTAACCACACTACGGGAAGGAGGAACATTCTGGTGAATGGTGACCATGGCAATAAACTGACTACTATTAGGCCATTAATGGCAGTAATCTGGCCTTGCAAGCCACCACCCTAACTTGATGTTGTCAAACTGTGATGACATAGCATTTCATAACCTTGGACTATTCAAACTAGTACTATCATTGAAATGATGGAGAAGGTGGCCGAAAACAAATTGAAATGATAGAGGAGTGATAACCTTTGTTATAAGCTAAAATTTGAATATATAAATTAACAATAGATGAAAGTTTAAAAGGGTTTTGTGCCTCTTAATAGAAAAAGAAATATTGGGTTAATTTTTGCCTATTTGAAATAGATTCATTTTGTTTTGTCTTAAATTCACTGAAGTAGAAAATTAGCATGAGGTTATGAAAATAAAGAAAAAACTCATTGTGAACTAAAATGAAAAGTAATTAATTGGCACACTTTCAGCTGCTTCTAAGAGAGAGAATGCATTGCAAAAAAAAAAAAAAGAATTAACACTGGAAAATAATCTAAATAGCAAAGGTCAAAAGTACTGCTTTCATTCAATTGAATTTTACTTCCTTCCTTTAAAGTATTTTTACACGTTCTTAAATGAATATGTTCTAAGAGTATTTTTAAATTAAATAAATGATCATTAGATAATATTTGTCTGTGCTCGGATGACCGGCAGTGCTATTTAATAAGCCACAGATGTTATTCCCTTTGTTCTTGAACTGTCAGTAAAGGAACCCTTCACTGGTTACTGTGGTGGTTCATTTAGTGCCCAGATAATTGGTCTAACATTATTCTGGATGTTTCCATGAGCATGCTTTTGGATGAGATTTAATTGGTAGACTTTGAATAAAGCATATTGTACTTTATAATATTGGCTGACCTTATCCAATTAGTTGAAGGCCTCAATAGAACACAAGGCTGATCTCCCCAAACAAGAGAGAATTCTCCAGCAGACTGCCTTCAGACTTCAACTGCAGCATTGGCTGTACCTGGTTTTCCAGCTCACTGTCTTTGGACTTGAACTGCTCCTGAGTCTCCAGCCAATCAGCCTCCCAGGTCAGATTTTGGATTTACCATGCCTCCACAATCACATGAGCCAGTTCCTTAAAATAAATCAATCAATCTGCCTATCTGTCTATCTGTCCACCCACCCATCCATCTACCCAACTAGCTACATCCTACCAATTCTATTTCTCTGGAGAATCGTGACTAGTAAGTCACCAAAAATGTTTTTCAATATTCTCCTCTCTCTTGACTGGCCTAAAGTTTCTGCTTAAGATACTAGATTTGAGGCTATTCAGAAATCCTAAGAAATTACCCAGTGTTTCTGTTTAGACGTCAGTTTTTAATCTTATTTTGGTTCTATTGTATGTAAGAAGGAGTTTTTGTTTCTTCCATGATTTTCTCTTTGTCATTGTCTTTCAACATTTTAACTATTTTGTGGCTGGGTGCACAGGACCTCCTTGCATTTATACTATTTAGAGTTTGTTGAATTTCTTGATTGTGTGTGGAAATATTTTCATGAAATTGGTGAGATTTTCAGTTTATTTCTTTTTCTTTTCTTTTCTTTTTTTTTTTTTTTTTTTTTTTTTTTGAGGCGGATTCTCGCTCTGTTGCCCAGGCAGGAGTGCAGTGGCGCGATCTCGGTGCACTGCAAGCTCCGTCTCCCGGGTTTACGCCATTCTCCTGCCTCAGCCTCCCCAGTTGCTGGGACTACAGGAGCCTGCCACCACGCCAGGCTAATTTTTTTATGTTTTTAGTAGAGGCAGGGTTTCACCGTGTTAACCAGGATGGTCTCGATCTCCTGACCTCGTGATCTGCCCCCTTCGGCCTCCCAAAGTGTTGGGATTACAGGCGTGAGCCACCACACCTGGCCTCAGTCATTATTTTTTTAAGTATTTTCTCTGCCCCTTCCAATCTCTCTTCTCCTCTGATATTCCCATTACAGGCATGGTGATGTGCTTCATGGTGTCCCACATTTCTCTGAGATTCTGTTGATTTTTCCTCATTCTCTTTTTATCCCTCTGGTTTTCAGATCGCTTAATCTCTATCAATCTGTCTTTAAATTTGCTGTTTCTTTTGCCAGCTCACAACTACTGGTGAGAGGCTGTAATGATTTTTTTGTCATTTCAATTATTGTACTTTTCACCTCAAAATTTCTATTTGATTCTGTTATAATTTTAATCTCTTTATTGATGTTCTTGGTTTAATGAAAGTGTCATTATACCTTGCTTTACTTCTTTAAGCTTGGTTTTCTTTAGTTTTTTTGAATATATTTATACTATCAATTTAAGCCATTGTCTCCTGATACCCCACCCTTTTCAAAAAGTCTCTTTTGCTTGTTTTTCTTCTTGTGTATCAAATTCCTGTTTCTTTACATATCTTATAATATGTTGTTGAAAACTGAATATTTTAGATAGTATACTATTGCAATTCTACTGAGTTGCTGAACCTGAACTCACTTCCAGAGCCTGTTGTTGTTTGCTTTTATTTAGATACTTGGCTGCGCTACTTTAGTGAAGCCCGTTTTCCCCGAAGTATGTAGCCTCTGATTTCATTTCTCAGAGCCTGCAAACCATGGCTCACTCATAGGGCATAAGTAGCATGCTGAAAAAAGTTGTTCTAAGGCGGCACACAGCCACCCTAGAATGACAGTACTTTAGCAGGGTTCCCTTTGACTGACTTTTTCCCTGATGGTCTGTTAAAAATCTAGTAGATCTACCTCTGTTGACATCACACTTATCTTGTAGCCTCCACTATTTGCTCACTGAAAACAAAAACAGTATTGTTGTCAATATCCCGGGCATAAACTCTTCCAAAACCTAAAACGGTGAAATTCGGGATCTTTGCAGGGAGAATCATTGAGTCATCTTGAATCTTGTTTTGATCTCAGGAGATCTCTCTTTTAGCTGTTTCTTTGCATGGTTTTCTCTTTTAATGTCTAAACTTGTTTAGCTTGTTGCTATTATGTAGCTACCGGACTCCTTATAATTACTTTTCACAAAAACCACCATTGTTTTCGACTGTATCCTTAGGCTTGATGTTCTCACAAATAAAGTTAGTTCATTCACAGAGAGCAACAACCCTGTTTTTCCTTCTGGGATAATACTGTGTGCAATTTCTCTGAAGCTGGTGGCAGGAACAGTGGCTGATTTCCGTCAAAATGGCGGCCCTTTTTATGCATGGGTTATTCGGTCAGGGCAATAGTCCCAGGTCTTCTCAACGCCTTCCAGAATGCCCTATGAATGAGGCATGGCAGGGTGATTGGGGTCCAAGATTTTTGTCTCGTAGAAGTAGACTTTCCACCCTACCAATGAGGGTGAGATGTCCACAGCCTTCCCGTTCTAGGGAGAGAGCCTTAGCCTGGGAACCTGAGGGGAGAGGGAACCATTTGTTCTTGACGACATATTCCAGAATAGAGCCTTCAATGCCTGGGCTCGGACATCAGACAGGGAATAGCAGATTGCAGAACAAGTGCACAAGATTTTGTTTCTCTTACCAAGATTTAGAAGATTTTCTTTAATGTTTCTTCATTTGCTGTATGTTCTATGGGTTAAGATTTACATTTTTTAAAATATAGTTTTCAAAACTTATGATTTGTTTTCCAAGGAAGAGATACAAAATACATAGACACAATTAAAAAGTTCTGAAATATCCAAGCTCAGATTAAAGAGTTGCAAAAGAAACAATTTGTCTATGACTCGTAAACCACCAATATATTCAAGGTATTTCATTCTCAGATAAACAAAGATACAAATATAGATATAATGAAATATTTTATATCCCACTGGTTATGAAATATTTTATATCCCACTGGTTACATATCCCATATGAGATGCAGATGATGAAAAATTATTCTATACATTGTTAATAAATAATATACACAAGTTTGCACAAGGAATATCCAGCATGATTTCAGGACTTTAAACAGTATATTATAAATCAATATTATTACCTTTTAATGCTATCTTGGCCAGTTGCTCAGTGCTGTAGTTCCACAAATGTCTGGACATAACCAAAGAGCTATTTCACATCAGCTGCAAGTTAATCCTAATTTTATGTAGTATGTTATATAAAGAGAACTGGAAGAGACAGCCCACTCATACTAGAAAGAGAACAGTATACATGTAAGCATATTTGTTTTTAATCTTCTTTCCCCTTTTTAAATTAGAGGTGATTCATTACTCTTTCTAAATGAGTTGGAAAAGAAGTAAATAGATTGAATAGAAACCAGAAGATTTTCAGTATTGGGTAAAGGATTATATTAGTAGCTTAACAAAGTAAATGTATGGCTGTCGTTTCTTTATATTAAAAATAATGGCAAGATAATCTTAGAAGTGCATTAGAAGTACAGTTTTTCATAGGGTTTTAAATGATCATAAACATTCTATAGCACTTAACATGCAAAATTAGTTTATTAATTTGAAATAATTTCAAAGCATTTTTTGTATTTATAAGATAATACATATATTCAGTTTATACATTTTCTACAATCTTACATATTTGTGCTGGATGGTTTTTAAAGGGTAACACATAGAGGTATTGTTGTGGGAAGTCAGGGACCCCAAACGGAGGGACTGGCTGAAGCCATGGCAGAAGAACATGGATTGTGAAGATTTCATGGGCATTTATTAGTTCCCCAAATTAATACTTTTATAATTTCTTATGCCTGTCTTTACTGCAGTCACTAAACATAAATTGTAAAGATTTCATGGACACTTATCACTTCCCCAATCAATACCCTTGCAATTTCCTATGCCTGTCTTTACTTTAATCTCTTAATCCTGTCATTTTATAGCTGAGGAGGATGTATGTCACCTCAGGACCCTGTAATAATTGCATTAACTGCACAAATTTTACAGCCTGTGTGTTTGAGCAATATGAAATTTGGACACCTTGAAAAAAGAACAGGATAACAGCAATTGTTCAGGGAATAAGAGAGATAACCTTAAACTCTGACCGCTGGTGAGCTGGGCGGAACAGAGCCATATTTCTCTTCTTTCAAAAGCAAATGGGAGAAATATTTCTGAATTCTTTTTCTCAGCAAGGAACATCCCTGGGAAAGAGAATATGTGCCTGGAGGTATAGGCTTATAAACAGTCCCCCTAGGTGTGCCGTCTCTTATGGTCGAGACTGCAGGGGTGAAATAGACCCCAGTCTCCCATAGCTCCCAGGCTTATTAGGAAGAGGAAATTCTCGCCTAATAAATTTTGGTCAGACCGGTTGATCTCAAAACCCTGTCTCCTGATAAGATGTTATCAATCACAATGGTGCCCGAAACTTCGTTTGCAATTTTAATTTCACCTCGGTCCTGTGGTCCTGTGGTCCTGTGATCTCGCCCTGCCTCCACTTGCCTTGTGATATTCTATTACCTTGTGAAGCACGTGATCTCTGTGACCCACACCTATTCGTACATTCCCTCCCCTTTTGAAAATCCCTAATAAAAACTTGCTGGTTTTGAGGCTTGTGGGGCATCACAGAACCTACCGACATGTGATGTCTCCCCTGGACACCCAGCTTTAAAATTTCTCTCTTTTGTACTCTGTCCCTTTATTTCTCAAGCTGGCTGACGCTTAAGGAAAATAGAAATGAGCCTATGCGAATATTGGGGCAGATTCCCCGATAAGGTATAACTTGTTTTATTGAACTTCACTTCATTGCTCTTTGCATGTAATGCATTTTTTACAAACTGAAGGTTTTTTACAAATTGATAGACTTGCATTGAACAAGTCTATCAGCACCATTTTTACAACAGCAAGTGCCCTCTTTTTGTCTTTGTCACATTTTGATAATTTTCACAATTTTTAACTTTATATTATGATTATATATGTCATGGTGATGTGCGATTAGCAATCCTTGATGTTACTAATTGCTTTGGGGTGACACAAACTGTGCCTATGTTAGTAGTCAAACTTAATAAACAAATGTTTTATGTGTTCTGACTGCTCCACTGACCAGTGTTTCCCTTGTCTTTCCCTTGTCTGCCTTCCTCTCCTCAGGCCTCTCTACTCTCTGAGACACAACAGTATTAGAATTAGGCCAAATAATAAACGTACAATGGCCTCTAAGTGTTCAAGTGAAAGGAAAAGTTGCATGTCTTTAACTGTAAATAGAAAGGTAGAAATAATTAAGTATAGTGAAAAAGGTATGTCAACAGCTGAAATAAGCTCCAAACTAAGCCTCTTGTACCAAATAGCTATATTATGAATGCAAAGGAAAAGTTCTTGAAAGAAATTAGAAGTGCTACTCCAGTGAATGCACAAATTATAAGAAAGTAATACAGCCTTATTGCTGATATGGAGGAAGTTTTGGCTATCTGGACAGAAGATCAAATCAGCTAGAATATTTCCCTTAGCCAAAGCCTAATTCAGAGCAAGGCTCTTACTCGCTTTAATTCCATGAAGGCTAAAGGAGAGGTGAGGAAGATGCTGAGAAAAAAAAAAAAAAAAGAGCTTGAAGCTAGCAGAGGTTGGTTCAGAGGTTTGAGAAAGAAAGCAAAACATAAAAGTGCAAGGTGAAGCAGCAAATGCTGATGTAGAAACTAGCAAGTTACCCAGAAAATCAGGCTAGGATCATTGATGAATGTGGCTATAATCAACAACTGATTTTTAATATAGACAAAACAGCCTTTTATTCGAAAAACTTGCCATCTAGGGCTTTTATAGCTAAAGAAAGGTTACTTCCTGGCTTCAGATCTTCAAAGGACCGATTGACTCTCTGAATAGAAGCTTATGCAGCTGGTGGCTTTAACTTGTTGCCAATGCTCATGTACCGTTTCAAAAATCCTAGTGCTATTGAGAATTACGCTAAATCTACTTTGCTTGTGCTCTACAGATGAAATAACAAAGCATGGATAAAAACATAACCTGTTCACAGCATGGTTTACTGAATATTTTAGGCCCAATGTTGAGCCTTCTACTTAGAAAAAATATTTCTTTTAAAATATTACTGCTCACTGACAATGCACCTGGTCACTTGGTGGCTCTAATAAAGATGTCTAGGGAGATTAATGTTGTTTTCATTCCTGCTAACACAACATCCATTCTGAAGCTCATGGATCAAGGAGAATTTTGATGTTCAAGTCTTATGATTTCATAAATACATTTTCTAAGTCTATTGTTGCCAAAGATAGTGATTCTTCTGATGGATCTGGGCAAAGTCAGAAAGGATTAACCATTCTAGATCTCATTGAGAACATTTATGAATCATAGGAGGTCAAAATATCAACATTAACAGGAGTTTGGAAGAAATTGATTCAGCCCTCATGGTACCTTTGAGGAGCTCAAGACTTCAGTGGAGGAGATAACTGCAAATATGGTGGAAATAGCAAAAGAACTAGAATTAGAAGTGGAGCTTGAAAATGTGACTGAATTGCTGCTATCTCATGGTAAAACTTGAATGGATGGGAATTTGCTTCTTTGAATAAACAAATAAAGTAGTTTCTTGAGATGAAATCTAGTCTTGGTGAAGATGCTATGAACATCGTTGAAACAACACAGGATTTACGATATCGCATAAACCTAGTTTATAAAGCAATGGTAAGATTTGAGAGGGTTGACTCTAATTTTGAAAGATGTCCTACTGTGGATAAAGTGCTATCCACAGCATTGCATGCTACAGAAAAATCTTTCATGAAATGAAGAGTCAATTGATACAGCAAATTTTGTTGTTATCTTATTTTACAGAAATTGCCACAGTCACCTCAACCTTCAGCAACCACCAACTTGATCAATCAGCAGCCAATAACGTGAAGTCATGACCATTCACCAGCAAAAAGTTTATGATTCACCAAAATATTAGATGATCATTAACATTTTTAGCAATAATGTATTTGTCATTAAGGTATGTACTTTTTTTAGACATAATACTATTGCATACTTAGTACACTACAGTACAGTGTACACATAACTTTTATATGCATGGGGAAGCCAAAAGAATTCATAGGACTTGCTTTATTGTGATATTCACTTTATTGCAATGGTCTGAAAACAAACCCACAATATCTCGGAGGTATGTTTCTCCTGGAGTAAAAATTTTGATATAAGTAAATAATGATGATAATTGAGGATTTGTTTGTATTTTTAAATGGCACACCACCCAATTATCCTATCAAGATGTATACTGATGCTCAAAACAGTAAAAAATTGCTGTTCCTTAATTTGAAGTGGATAATGTATTATTTCCTTAAGAATCTTTAATTAATTTAGTTTATTAAGTGGTAGAGAATATAATTTTTAAAGTATTAATTTAATTGTCCAACATTATCGGTGTTAACCAAAGTACACCGTAATTTCTATATGTTCTAAAACAGGTACTCAACACTTTTTATATTAAAAAAAATCTCCATGGATAATTACTTGAAGGACTGCTCATTTAAATGCAAATCAATTCTCTTGAGATAAAGGGCATTCAACAGTTAAATACCACTCTCCGAAAAGAACTTTATTCTGAAATAATATATTCATTAGACATTAAGGTTATTATGTGGCTCCAGTAGCCTGAGTTAATAATAAGGATTAAAAGCCATTAACTCTATGTATTTTATCCATTATATTATTTCCATTTACTTTGAATCTAAAAAAAAGAATTAATGTCTGCTTTTTCTAATAGAATTAACTTTTTCAATAAGTATTAAATAACAATTCCACATAATATTTTATTTTAAAATTGATTTTTATACTCCTTTGAATCCTTGAGAGTTTTCCCTAATGACTGTGCTTAATACCTGGGTGATGGGTTGTTCTGTGTAGCAAACCACCATAGCAAACCACGTTTACCTACATAACAAACCTGCACATCCTGTACATGTACCCTGGAACTTCAAATATGAGTTGATATATATTAAAAAATAAACTTTGTACTGTCTCCCTTTCCTGCCTGTCTTGGGCCAAATTGGGAAGTGGGCTCAGACTGTCTGCTCTCTCTGCCCCTTCCTCTTGCGTTATTCTCCACAGTGCCCTCCTCAAGGCAGCATGCTGCTGTACTTGTTCTTAGCTTATTTGTATGAAGGGCATGTATTATTTTCTATCCTAAGACCCCACCACTGCGTTTTCAACCCATGACATAAGCATTTATATAAATTTATGCCTCATAAGTGTCATTGCAGATACCATAAGGTATTTTAAACACTGGTCATATTACACGCGATGGCTTACAAGAATAAAAATTACGTTTCTTGGATATTTAAAATTTGTAAGAACCGGCCGGGCGTGGTGGCTCACGCCTGTAATCCCAGCACTTTTGGAGGCCGAGGCGGGCGGATCACGAGGTCAGGAGATCCAGACCATCCTGGCTAACACGGTGAAACCCCGTCTCTACTAAAAATACATAAAAATTATCCGGGCATGGTGGCGGGCGCCTGTAGTCCCAGCTACTCGGGAGGCTGAGGCAGGAGAATGGCGTGAACCCGGGAGGCAGAGCTTGCAGTGAGCCGAGATCGCGCCACTGCGCTCCAGCCTGGGCGACAGAGCGAGACTCCATCTCAAAAAAAAAAAAAAAAAAAAAAAAAAAAACAAATAATTAGAGACTTGCAGCCCACAGGGGAAGATAAACGATCAAAGAGCCTGATTCAGTTTAGTGGCATAAGACTTCTGTGAGTGCAGATGGAAAGTGCATTGTGAAATCCAGGGCTTCAGATTAAGGACTGCATTCTGGACGGTAACACCTCCAGTCTCCTACTCCTGTGATTTTCAGAACTCGGGGAGCCAAACATTTACCTGCTTAGCAGGATACAAGGGAATCCTCTGAGGAGATGGACTTGCTTAAAATAAAATACATACTGATAATGACATTTGTGGAACAGGTAAATTTAGTTCTATGACCCAGGCATGGAAGAATAAGAAAGGTGGTAAGAGAAAGAATTGAAGCTTGAAAAGGAAAGAGCCACAACATAAAAATTAAAGATAATTTAGAAGATTAAATGTAAGTGAAAAAAATTAGAAGATTAAATGTAAGTGAAAAAAATTTGTAAGAACCTCCAAATGTCTTTTAAATTAAAATACATCAGTGTTCATTTATTACCGATATGGTCAGTCTTCATAATCTTTAGAATGAGATTCTGTTAAATCAAAATCGACAAAGTAAAAGAAATCCTAAATTTTGTATTTTATTTGTTTTCTCATTATTACTTTGTAAATTTAGGAAAATATATATTAATATACATTAGCTATAATATGACAAATGCCTATGCCTAAGCCAGAATTAAAGGATTTGCAATTATATCTAAAAATCGGAAACCACTGTCAAGCTATTTCTTTTCATGCACCTTGGGGCAAGGAAAAAAGAAGGGATCAATGGACAAAATTACCTATTGATTTCTCAACGATGTGCATCCTTTTTTATTATAATAAGTTTTATTTTTCCCTTCTAGGTGTTAGTGCATTGGAAAATCATTTAAAGAATGTATCAGCTAATTGAAGGCTTATGTGTGAGTTTGACTTTTTATGATTATATAGAAATATATTTCCAAGTGTCTTTCCTTAAAAAGTTAGATACTATTTTAATTTGCATAGTATAAGTAAGACTTTTATCATTATTTACTTACATTGGATCTGCAAGGGAAGCCCTGCAGTCAAGTTTTATACCCACTTGATGCCAAGATTGGCTGTTTGGCTCATTAGATGTTATTGCTGATTTTCTGCTCTTGCCTAGAGTCTCTATATATTCCGTCATGGGTCAATACAGGGTTTCTTACTTGCATGTCCAGTTCGCTGTGCTGGAGTCAGTTCCTTTCAATAGAACCAGAGCAAAAACCAGAGACTTGGGGTAATGTAATCGTGTGTGTGTGTGTGTGTGTGTGTGTGTATAGGTTGAAAGAATGTCAGATAAGGATCAATTTTGCATAGCATAATGTGAGGAGAATAATCGTCTGGAAGTTAAAATTATAGAGTGTTCAGATGGTAAACTGCAGAAACTTATGATACATAAAAGGAAGGCCCTAAAAAATAAGAGGATGTAGTGCTCATGAAATAAAAACTGAGTAGTCAAACCAAACATCAAGTTCTCCCAGAAAGTGAGTTAATTAAATGAAAAGAAATATTAATGGTTGAGTTTTAACATACAGTGGTCTTAGTTCTTCTCTCCTCTCCTCTAAACCTTGGACTTTCATTCACAGAGTAAGTGGAATATGATATAACTTCTAGTCTTACAGGATTTGAATATTGTAGATAATTTACAAATGATTCAGGCCATTTAGAAAACTATTGTTTTGCTCTCCTGATTCTTTGACTCTGGCATTCTTCTCCTTGAGATCATGTATTAGCTAAACTGATTCTTATTGAAAAGACAGGTGCTGAGGGTAACTCAAATCATGTATATAACTGATGGACTATGTGAATTTTTCTGTATCCTCCACCTATGTCTGTTGGCAGATGTCACTTATACCATCTGCTTTTATCTTTAGGTAAACAAGATTCCTGCCAGGCTTTGACTACTACCCTTGGCCTTCCTATACAGGGTTGTAAAGAATCATCATGATGTATGTTTGAAATTATGTTTAACAGTATTACAGTCAATATAGACTAAATTTTGATGCAGTAACAACCTCAGAACTTTTACAATCATTGCTGGACTGAGAGAGAAAGAGAGAGTGAACAGGGAATGTCACATGAGCAGAGAATGTCACTATCTCAACTGTAAAAAACAAACATTACTTCTACTCACATTTCATTGCCCAGAACTAGTCCTATACCTGTGCCTAACTGGAAATGAGCACAAACTATCGTGTCTGTCATGCTCAAGGAGAGGAAATTGGTTATTGGTCAGTGTCAATATTGTCCACAAATGTGAATTACATTTTATAAGGTGTTGACTCTGCCTGTCACCCACAAAAGAGCTTTGAGTACAATTGGCAAACCGTATATGCTATATTTTTAAAACAATATTTCTCTTCCATGTGTTAAATGTAATAATTGTTTTAGATTATTTAACTTGATATATTACTAAGCTTTTTTTCCCTACTCAAACAAAAAGTACTCTTACAATCAAAGAAACATGTTTATTGTTGTTGTTGATTTAATTTTCAAACACATTTGAAGGACTCAAAACACAACCACTCTTTCAAACCTCAAATATCAACTAAGTTATAATCAGTATCTTTTGTATGGTAAGGCACTAGACCCAGAATAACAGAAGAAAAACAATGGAAGATAAATTTAAAAGTTAATGGAAGAAAACATAATTATGGAGAGTTACAACTATTACATGTTTACTTTTAAACTGGTAATTGATATCTAAAATAAGTAAGGGTTTGATATGGGAAGAATAGTAAACGGGAGATAGGAGCACTAATTTTAAGACACTTTTTTGACATCAGTTAGTAAAACAATTTTGGAAAAAAACAATGATCTATGTTTCTTAAATCTAATTAATTTATATTATTTCATATATATTTTTTAAAATGAGCTATCCTTCAAAATGCAACCGATTAGAATATTTTACTATCTTTTCTATGAAGTTTAAGGTTTAATAAGCTTTCACTTTAACTTTCTAATACAATGGAATAATTTCTATTGTCATTTTATTGTGTAATACTATTGTAAAGCTTTAAAACATAAAAAAATACAAAAACATAAAATTTACATTTTATATAAAGATACAATTTGTAAAACAATTTAGAACATATTATTCTATTACAATAAATTATCCTGCAAACTTTTAGGGTTGTTCTTTGCTTCTAATATCCCATATGAGAATTTACTAATCTTAAGCTGTCAGATCTTACTTTTCTCACTTCCTTAACCATATTTTCTGCCTTCATCTCACCCTTGCATTCTCAAGCTTTCTTGACCTATGGCAAAATAAATATTAATATGAATTCATAGACAGATGTATATTTATAGATCTGTGGAAGATTAATATCTCATATCCATTTTTTGTTGTATTTATTTATGAATTTATTTATTCATGTGGCCCAGTTTGGCTTTTTGAAATGATAGCCTCATGAAATGTTTCATAATGATATCTTTATTCTGTGACTGGATTAAAATTTATGTTATTTCTGTAAACTCAGTTTGAATTACTCCATCTTTGATGTCTATAGTATGGAATTAACACAGTGGAGTTTATGTGCTTCATGGGACCCTTAAGTGCAAACTTGTAAAATCTTTCATTATTTCAATAATTACACATGATAATAATTTAGAGACATGAGTGACATCTAAACTTTGAAAACGGCATTGTGCTCTTTCTAAATGTATTATGGAGGATTTCTCTCATTTTTCTTGTCTTAATTGTTTAAATGCATTTGAGCAAAGTTTCCATTTACCTTGCTAGTTGTTTTAGATGGCTGCCGGATCGCTATTCATGAAGGAAGGACTAACAGATGGAGACCCGCTACTGACTTCAGTAAACCTAAATTATCTGAAAGTGGTAGAATAAGAGAAAGGTTATGAATGGTGATGACATTGAGCCCAGGTTAAATCCAGGAAGCCAACACCCAGTTTTATGTATAAAGTTTGAAAGATGTAAGATGAGAGAAAGGCATATTGTCAGTAATGAATCAGTGTAAATCAGAACTTGGGAACTGATACTGTTAATTGTCTTCTGGAGGCCCACTTAATTGTGGTTTTTGAAAATTATGCCACGAGGAGGAGATATTTGTGTTCTCTCATGAGCGTGAAAACAGCGTTTGGTGTTGCGTTATTCCAACTGCCATTTGCTATTGGTGATCGTTCTTCTCTAGAGAATGCGCAACCTACTCATCTGACAAAGGGCTAATATCCAGAATCTACAATGAACTCAAACAAATTTACAAGAAAAAAACAAACAACCCCATCAAAAAGTGGGCGAAGGACATGAACAGACACTTCTCAAAAGAAGACATTTATGCAGCCAAAAAACACATGAAAAAATGCTTATCATCACTGGCCATCAGAGAAATGCAAATCAAAACCACAATGAGGTACCATCTCACACCAGTTAGAATGGCAATCATTAAAAAGTCAGGAAACAACAGGTGCTGGAGAGGATGTGGAGAAATAGGAACACTTTTACACTGTTGGTGGGACTATAAACTAGTTCAACCAGTGTGGAAGTCAGTGTGGTGATTCCTCAGGGATCTTGAACTAGAAATACCATTTGACCCAGCCATCCCATTACTGGGTATATACCCAAAGGATTATAAATCATGCTGCTATAAAGACACATGCACATGTATGTTTATTGTGGCACTATTCACAATAGCAAAGACTTGGAACCAACCCAAATGTCCAACAATGATAGACTGGATTAAGAAAATGTGGCACATATACACCATGGAATACTATGCAGCCATAAAAAATGATGAGTTCATGTCCTTTGTAGGGACATGGATGAAATTGGAAATCATCATTCTCAGTAAAGTATCGCAAGAACAAAAAACCAAACACTGCATATTCTCACTCATAGGTGGGAATTGAACAATGAGATCACATGGACACAGGAAGGGGAATATCACACTCTGGGGACTGTGGTGGGGTGGGGGGATGGGGGAGGGATAGCATTGGGAGATACACCTAATGCTAGATGATGAGTTAGTGGGTGCAGCGCACCAGCATGGCACATGTATACATATGTAACTAACCTGCACAATGTGCGCATGTACCCTAAAACATAAAGTATAATAAAAAATAAAAATAAAAAAAAAGAAATAATACCACACATCTTAAAAAAAAAAAAAAAGATTGATAAGCTGGCTCATGTGATCTTGTGGCTCACCCTGGAACTGACTGACTCAGTGCAAGAGGACAGCTTCAGTTCCCTATGGTTTCATCTCCTGCCAACCAATCAGCACTCTTGACTCACTGGCTTTCCTCCACCCGCCAAATTATCCTTAAAATCTCTGATCCTGGAATGCTTGGGCAAAACTGATTTGAATAATAAAACTCCTGTCTCCGAAAAAAAAAAAAATTATGAAAGATTAAAGATGGTTGATTAAATGAAATATAAAGTTCTAAATTTAAAAAATATAGGAAAATCGTAATTATAGATATTATTTCATTTAACAGCCTTTGCTATAGAAAGTTAAAAGGATTGTTCAAAATTGAAGTGAGTGATCACTGGTCCATCTTGAACTAAACAACCATGGAAGAGTAAACATTTTTGGAGTAAAAAATATTTTATTCTTATTTAAATATATACAATGAGTTCAATAATACTATGAGTTTTTAATTGTATTCTCAACAATCTGCTAATGTTGAATTCACAGTATAAATAATGTAAAAACAAACCCTCATGTTTTATAAAAGTTCAGAAAATATTACAGTTAAAGTTTCCAATGTAGTTGATGAAAATATCTACCTTATATAATACATGCAGTGTATTAATAATTCAATAACTTTAAACAATAAATTTTATGTAGTAAAATGATGAGTTAAATTATTTATATTTACATGAGGTATTAACAATATGCCTGTGGCCGGGCACGGTGGCTCACGCCTGTAATCCCAGCACTTTGGGAGGCCGAGGCAGGTAGATCACGAGGTCAGGAGATCGATACCATCCTGGCTAACACAGTGAAACCCCGTCTCTTCTAAAAATATGAAAACAAAAAATTAGCTGGGCTTGGTGGCGGGCACCTGTAGTCCCAGCTACTTCAGAGGCTGATGCAGGAGAATGGCGAGAACCTGGGAGGCGGAGGTTGCAGTGAGCTGAGATTGCACCACTGCACTCCAGCCTGGGTGACAGAGTGAGACTCGATCTCAAAAAAAAAAAAAAAAAATGCTTTCAAGAGATCACTTTGGCATACTAAAATGTAACAGTTTTAGCATATTACAATATTAATGTGCAGAATGTTGAAATATTTATATATTGGTTTATAGAAAAATGAATTGCAGAATTCAGACTTTTGCCATTGTTTAGAGATGTGCTGCTTCTAAACATTTTTTCTTCAGATTCACATATTTCATGGTGTACTTAAATATACAGATCTACTTGAATCTACAGATGCACATATTTCACGGTCAATTTAATATATATTATATTTGCTACCTTACATATAAATGTTTCTATATCCTATATATAGACACACATACATATATATATACATACATAGAATATTGTTTTTTAAAGGGCAAATCTCTATTGTTTATAACAGCACAATGGTAACATGCCATACAGTTATAGAAAGCTATGTTATTACATAACTTTGAAAACAAATATTTTCAGATTTTGGCCGCTTTCTGTCTCTGATTGTTTACAATAGACATCTAAATATCTGCAAAATCTGACCCCTAATATTTCTGGGAAATTCTAAGATGTTTCTGCCTTGGTCATAACAGTGTCTGTTTCTACTAGAAATTCTAGTACTTCACCAGCCAACAATATCTTTTTTGCACCCTACAGGGGACAGCAATCTCTGCTGGCTTTTGCCTTTTAGCGGATCCCTGTTTTTCCTCTGAGTACAGCAGTTGCCCAACTAAGGTGCCACTGTCTGTCTTTTCTTGTCCAGGTACTCATGTCTATGGGAAAGTGTGCGTGTGTGTGTCGGGGGGGCAGTGGTGGGAGGACAGTCTGATAAAAGCCTTGTCTTTACTTTGGAATTGATTATAGGAGCCACAATGCTCTACAAGTGTTCAATATTTACATGATTTCTATTGAGCTTTTCTTTTTTATGTCCTTTTCTCAAAAACAAACTGACCAGTACAATTAAGAAATATACTAATAGTATTTTATGGACAAACATTTGAATCATAATAAAATAAAGAAAAAATGATTCCCACAGAAACATATATATATACACATATATATATATCACAATTTATGGATTATTTAATTGTCCCATGAATCAAGGCAAGAGACTCAACAATGAAAGAAACTCCTTCCTTGGTGTCCTCTTTCATTAAATCATTAGATGCCCCAAGTTAAAAGGCCTGAGCTTTGGCATCAGTTATAAACCATGTGATTTATATCCATTATCTAATTTTCCATTCACTACGTAATCAGATGAAAAAAACTAATATTTTTCTAGGGACTATAATTTGTTCAAAATCACTTATCTAATAAAGGTTAAAGCCAAAATTTAAACATATATCTGCCAGATTTCAAAGTCTCTGCTCTCCCCATAATGATATGCTGCTTCCCTTCTGAAAATATATCTAATGACCAGGCTTTTGCCATATCAGGATTCAGTTAAATTATGAAAAGAGTTATCTGAATTTCAGAGAAAAAGATGTAATATTTTTCACGGTACAAAATAAATTGACTATCCTATGGACAATAATGCCAGCTGTACCAGAAGACAAAAATATTAAAATATTTATAATACAAGGTTTAATAACCATTATTTTTAGTAGCAAGTATATTTAAAAATGACTTGAGTGTCACCCACCTTTCTGATGTATTTATCGTATATAATCACACAATGTGAAAAACATTATTTGGTTTGGGGAAAACAGAATACAAATGTTTAAAACATTTTTACCTTCTTTTAAACCCTAATCCATTTGGAAAAAGTATCTTCAATATAATTGTGTCATTAAATCACAAAAATGGAAATTACGTTAACAGCAGGATGTTATCTTTTATTGAGGGCAAATAGCAGGGTTGCTGCTAATGAGAACATCATCAATTTATCAGCAAAAGGTCAGCCTAAAGAGCTCTTTACCTAACTTCTCCCTAAGTAGTTATTTTCCCCTTTTGATGGCATATTGCACTGACAAGCTAGACTCATATGTGGCTATATTATTAGGAATCAATCTCTTTTATAACAAGAAATATGTAATTGCAAGATACACATTGAGTTTGGTAGAATACTCTGAAGTTAATTTCTTTCTCTATACAAGATATTAAGATAATTGTGGTAATGTAACTTTCTTGTTCATTTATTTTTTAACAGTTTGACATTATATTTTAGTATGTTTTCATGCAAACATTTGGAAGGTGTAAAAGTATATTATGTAATGCATAAGTTTATGCATGGATTAAGATAGGCCTTAGTCCACATTGATGTGATTTTTATTCTTATTCTCCTACTTGCTTGCTCTTCTAACAGAAAGATGAAGTGGTAATCAAAATAACAATATCATTTATTGTGAATGTGCCATCTGCCATGCACTAGTCTGTTTTATAAACACCTTTCTTTTTAATTAATAATGACCTTGTAATACTTACAATGATAAATTTTTCTTTGCTTTTCTGTAGATATTTGAAGGCTGTCACAAGAGTTTGTGAATATTTGATTAGAATTGCTTTACTAATGATATTCAATAATTTAGATTCAGGTCTTTGGAATATAAGGCTGTGGAAGTTGTTGATTACATCACTTGAAAGTCTGTGCTTATAACAGCAAAATACAGCACAGAATTACTCTAATTAATAACAGGAATACTACTATGAATAAAAAGTAGCCATTAATTCTTCAAAAGTAAGGCCTAGGGCAGGCAGATTCCATCAGGCACCTCATTTTCCAAACCTGGTCTCATTATGACTTTTGTTTTGAAACGAAGGAGACTAAATAACTGGCCAGTGGGCTAAAACCTAGAGAGAAAAAATTAATTCAAACCTCACTTTTCCAGTGTTGTGATGGTTAAATTTATGTGTCAACTTAGGTAGGTCCTAGTACCCAGATATTTGGTCAAATGCAAGTCTAGATGTTGCTGTGTAGTTATTTCTAAAGGGTAACATTTAAATCAGTAGACTTTGAATACAGCAGATTACCTTCCATCATGTGGGAATGCATCTCTAATAATTACTTGAAGACTCTAAGAGAAAAAAGACAGATGTCTTCTGGAGGACAAGGTATTGGGCCAGCAGATTACTTTTGGACTGGAGCTACAACATGACTTCTTCCCTGGGTCTCCCAACTTCTGGCCGACCTGGCAGATTTGTGACTTGCCAGACTCCAAAATTACATAAGGCAATTCCTTAAAATAAATCTCTCTCTCTCTCTCTCTCTCTCTCCCTCTCCCCCTCCCTCCCTCTCCCTCCCTCTCCCGCTCCGTCTCCCTCTCTCTCTCTTTCTATCTAATCCATACCTAATATTCTATTTGTTATGTTTCTCTGTATAACCCTGATTAACACAGTTTGTGAATATGCCACTGTAACTGAATTTTTAATTTTTTTTTTCTTCTCCAAATGTATATATATGTATACTCAATCTTTATAATTTCGGGTGCTTTTCACCCAGTTTTTTTGATAGCATTTTGGCCTTTCTTTTTAATCACCATAAATGTTTTTCACTTCATCTTTCAAAAACTAAATTGGCGGCCCTCAAACAATTTAGATAGGGATTAGTCTACAGCCCGTATCATCTTCTGGCATGCCACAATGCATGTTGTTTTTTGCATATCATCTTTATTTTTCTCTTTTTGATAGTTATTATATGAGATAAAAAGAGAACCATTTCTCAGTGATGTTACAGACGAGTGAAGGGAGTATACAGATAAGTAAACTCACAATTGTAACACAACATGAAATATGTCAGGGCACATAGATGTTGCACATTTGGGATGTAAGCATACTATTAGAAGGGCCAGAGGAGACTTGCAGATGGAAATGATTCTTAGGCAGATATCTGTAGGGTGAGTAGTAATATTTAAAATAATATATATTACCCTTTGTATGTTTCTGTAACTAGCCTATGTGTTTTGCAAGCATTAACTCATTTAATTTTATCACAAAAAATAATGCTAATTGTTATGATTTCCTTTTTTTTTTTTTTTTTTTTGAGGCACAGTCTCGCTCTGTCGCCCAGACTGGAGTGCAGTGGCCCGATCTCAGCTCACTGCAAGCTCTGCTTCCCGGGTTCACGTCATTCTCCTGCCTCAGCCTCCCGAGTGGCTGGGACTACAGGCGCCTGCCACCAAGCCCAGCTAATTTTTTGTATTTTTAGTAGAGACGGGGTTTCACCGTGTTAGCCAGGGTGGTCTTGATCTCCTGACCTCGTGATATGCCCACCTCGGCCTCCCAAAGTGCTGGGATTACAGGCATGATATGATTTCCTTTAAAAAATAAGGCCAGGCGTGGTGGCTCACGCCTGTAATCCCAGCACCTTGGGAGACCAAGGCGGTCGGACCACAAGGTCAGGAGATCGAGACCACCCTGGCTAACACGGTGAAACCCCGTCTCTACTAAAAATACAAAAAATTAGCTGGGTATGGTGGGAGGCGCCTGTAGTCCCAGCTACTCGGGAGGCTGAGGCAGGAGAATGGCATGAACCTGGGAGGCGGAGCTTGCAGTGAGCCGAGATCGCGCCACTGCACTCTAGCCTGGGCGACAGAGCGAGGCTCCGTCTCAAAATAATAATAATAATAATAATAATAATAATAATAATAGTAATAAAATAGTTAAAAATGAAGAGACATCCAAAAAGGTAAAAGAGATGAAGGCAAGAAGAAAAAGTTATCTTGGTAGAGGGATCAACGTGGGTGAAATCATGGCAAGAGATAGCATGGCAGAGTGCAGCAACTGAGGTATATTTAATGTGACCTGGTTGTTGTTTGTTTTGTGTTTGTGTATACGCTGTGAGTATTTTAAAGACCAGGGAGGCCGGCCACAGTGGCTCACAACTGTAATCCTACACTTTGGGAGGCCAAGGAGATTGGATCACCTGAGGGCAGGAGTTCAAGACCAGCCTGGACAACATGGGGAAACCCCATCTCTACTGAAAAAAAATACAAAAATTAGCTGGGCGTGGTGGCGGGCACCTGTAATCCCAGCTACTTGGGAGGCTGAGGCAGGAGAATCGCTTGAACACAAGGGGCAGAGGTTGCAGTGTCCCGAGATTGTACCACTGCACCCCAGCCTGGCAAAAGAGCGAGGCGCTGTCTCAAAACAAAACAAAACAAAACACCAGGGAATGAGGAATGGGGATAGTAAGCAACGATCCCAGAGTAATAAGCAGAGACCGTGTTTAGCTTTTTGGACTTTACAACAAATTTTCATATCTTTACATGATACAAAAATTTAATATTTTCTTCTATGTATTTTATTTTGTTGGAGATTGTATCCTGATTTTAAAATACGAATTAAAATTATAATTGTGTTGCTGAGTGTATTTTTCTGTACGTAGTTATAAACATGCCTACCTGGTGGTGGTATTGTGAAGATTTTCAGCAGTTTTAAATTTAAACTTGCTTATCCACGGTTGCAAATATTTTTACTAGACTCTTACTTTTCTGTCCCACTTTTTGTTCAGTATCCCATATGAATTTTCAAAGAAAGGGCACTTAAAATTTTCTGGCTCCAGTTACTAATTGACGGACTCATTATATTTACCAAACCTAATTCACACATGAAGTACCTTTTATATAAGCTAAAAGAGAACTGAATTCATATGTATATAATAATGCTTATTACACTGATACCTGATCTCATTTATTTAGTTCCCAGCCTCAATTTCTGCATTTGCCAAAAGCATGAGTAACCACCCTTCACTGTGTTGAAAAAGATAGTAAAAATATATGAGGCAATGTTAGAACTCAAGAGTCTTTCTACAGATGAGTACTATAGTGTATACGTTTCTGGAGTAATGCACTTTTCACATTTTTTTGTGTGTTTATATGGCTCTCTTTTCCTGTATGATTTCAGAAACAATGTATGCAGCTTTTGGGACTAAGTCTCTTAACCTAACAGCATTATTTAGAATTTCAATTCAAAAACACTTAGTTTGGCAAAAATATTTTGTTTTATACAAACAGTTTAGATAACATATTGTCAAAATCTTGTTTCTTTAACTTCGAAAACAGGTTGCAGGCTGTCAATATTGATGACTACATTATATAGGAGTTAGCATATATCATGCTCTTTGAATTGGTGATCTTAATTCTACAGTATATGTTAAATAGAATTTTAGTTTACTAAGATATATTAAACCAGTTAGGGATAACTGCAAAAAGTGAAGATGTAGAAAACTGTGCACATTACAGAGTCTCATGCTATATATTTTTCTATCAATAAATAAAATTACAAAATTAGATAAAATGATTTAACTCCAGTTAAGTGAAGATTGTCATGGTATTTTCTTTAAAGCAACTTATTAAGTTAATTACTTAAGGATTTAATGTTTAATCTGATACTCCTTTGCACTAGTGATAATGTTTAAATCAGTATATTCTTATCAAGCCCTTAGTAGCCTATAATAGCATAATCATATGACTCTAAAAATAAGAATTATAACCAGAAAGGCTTACAGCAATTAAAAGGGAAAAACTAATGTCTCTACCATAAACTATTAGACTTCCATTGTAGTTATTGCCCTAATGTAGGTATCTAGACCCATACATTTGACAGTTTAAAGACCAAAGTTCTCAGAAATGTTTTCTCTTTCCTAACCTGTATTTTAAAATAAGTTAACATTGCTAGAAGGAGTTACAAAAGCACCAGTCAATGCACCCATAGATCCAATCCCTTCCTTCTTTTTATTGTCTATGTCCACATTTTTGGACAATGTCTTTTCACCATGTGCAGAGTGACCAGCTTTACCCCTTAGCTCTATGTGCGCTTGGTCAAGGACTGAAGTAGAAGTAAATAATATACCCGTTCTAAGCCTAGGCTTTTGGAGGTGATTTATGGGTAGGTTTCTATTTGCAAGTGTGTGTCCCTCGCATTATCTTGAGGACGTGCCTAGGCTGTTCTGCTGTCCTGGATGGAGCATTTGAGATGCATGATGAAGGACTGAGTTAAACCAGCTGCCCAGCATAGATAAGCTGAGTAGAATAACTTAATTTTTTTCATTAAGTTTATTTTCCAATTAACAAAAAGAACATCTGTAGCAATGCTTTTGGCTTTGTTAGCTGTAGCAAACTTGCTGGTTTATGCAAAAGTGTAAAAGTGTGACACACATAGATCCAGCTAAACAATAAGAAGAAACTGGTATTTATATACACAAGTATATTTATATACATAAACCATCACATTGAGTAGTTTGATCTCTTTTCCCTACAGGAAGACATATAATCAGCTTTCTTTGTTCTGATACAACCATTCAAAAAAGAAAAACAAAGGAAGGAGGGATGATTTAATATGTGGAAAAGCTGTACTACCAGCAAAGATTTGGTAGTACAACTCTTGCCATCTTCCAATCACACATTGTTCAGATGTGCTTTGTAAAAGAGTGTTTTGATCTTTAACTAGAATTTCAGAGAGTTTTTCAAAGCAATATGGCTCTTTATAATCTTTGTGTCAACGTCATTATCTTTTTTACTTATAGGAAGACCTTTCCCCCTTCATGATGCATAAAAGAAAAGCAAACATTTAAACTTCCTACCTTAGGCAATAATTGCTTCCTGCAAAGTGTCAGCTCATTTGTGAGCTGTTTCATGTACTCGCCAAAATAACGAAGTTATTTTATGTTTAGAAAGGCTCTAAAGATGATCCTTCATGATCTAGTTCAATTGTCCACCAACACTGATTTAATATGTTAATATCGACTTTATCTTTTTTTCTCTAATTTTTTTGTTTAAAGGAAAATCTTCACCATGATTTAAATTAGCCCTCAAAATATAAGTTGCAGAGATAAAGTTTGTGTGTGTGTATGTGTGTGCGTGTGTGTGTGTGTGTGATGTAACACCCAATACTTATTTAATTTGGAAATAATACTTTTTCTATTTATGTGATTTTTAGCAATTTTAACTATATATTATTTGGATTAAAAATAGCAGATAACCTTAAGCAACTTCTGAGGAATCAAAATAATTCAATTTCATAAATAAATATTAAATATATATTAAATACCAGGCACTTTTTTAGTTCATTAATTAATAGGAAAAAATCTTTCCTTTCCTGGAAATTATACTCTAGTTGAAATTTTCTACAGTTGGCACATAATTGTTTTATGATTAATTAATTTATGGCACAAGAACTTATGTAATAATACTACGTGTGAAGTTCTTTTTGACGTTGGGTTATGGTATACAAAAGAGTTATAATACATGTCAACATGGAGTACATTGATTTGTGGGTTGTGGAACAGAGGATGTAAACAATTAACAAATAATTAGGCAAGACAGTACAAGTTGTGATCAGTGTCATAAAAGACATTTTCAAAGAGATGAGAAAAAAAGTAATTAGAAACCACATATAAGATAATCCAAACTAACTTCTCTGGAGCAATGTTATTTGTGTTAAGATCTTATAGATGAGAATGAGCAGGACCTGCAGAAAACTGAAAGGATATTTTGACATATTCAGAGTATTAAAAAAGAGTACAAAATACAATCAAACCTAAGAGTAATGAAAGAAGCACACATCAAGCAAAAATTAGATATGATTTAATATATTAGATTGGCAAATTATTATCTGATAACTTTTGAGAAACGAAAACTCTCATACATTGAAGAAGTTACAGTAAATTGATTATCAATTTGGAAGTATATACTATTACTATTTAGTAATATTTACAAAAACTACTGTGTTCTTTGGAAGTGGGTAATGGGTACAGGCTGGAAAAATTTTGGAGTGCATGCTAGAAAAAGCCTCTATTGTCCTGAATGTACTGGTAAGTGTCACTCTGGTGAAGACTCAGAAAGAAGACTATTGAGAAAGACTCAACCTTCTTAGGGAATACTTATGTAAGCCTGAAGAGAATTTGCTAGAAATAGGAATGGCAAAGACCATTCTGATGAAGTATCAAATGGAAATGAAGCACATATTATTGGGTAACGAAGGAAAGGCCATCCTTGTTATAAAGTAGTAAAATAAAAATGGCTGAATCACATTCTGGTGTTTAAGGTAAAACTCGTGAGTGATAAAACTGGGTATCAGAGGCTTTGGTTCCCAAAGGAAACAAAGAGAAATCAGTTTCTCTTATGATGGATGGGAATTAGTGTTAGGACAATGAATAGCAGCTTACGAATGAGGCAGAATGGAAGAAGTCTCTTAGGCTATGTTCGATTAGACGCTATCGCTTGGTTGTCGCATGCTGTGCATCTGAGATTGCGGATAAGAATTCAAATCTGCAGATCAAACAGATTAAGTAATGAATGATAGACTGTTATTTAAAAAGAGAAAGGAAAATTTGTGTGTAAGTATGGGTTATTTGGAATTAAAACTTTGATTGCTAAAAGAAAATATCAGGAGTAGCTAAATTACAAAATTAAGGAAATACAATAAAATTCACACTTTGAAATACAAATCAATCATGATAATTAATCCAGGAAATCCAATACTATTAATAGCCATTTCAGAGAACATAGAGAAAAGGATGGTTGAAATAATTTGTACAATCCCCTAACCATCTCCTTGCTGCCATAGCCCTCTTTTGGCTGGCAAATTGTTAAATGAAATGAACTAAAATTAAAATGAAAGACTTTAGATATACTACAGATTTTTTTTATTATACTTCAAGTTCTGGGATACATGTGCAGAACGTGCAGGTTTGTTACATAGGTAGACACGTGCCATGGTTGTTTGCTGCACCCATCAATCTGTCATCTACATTAGGTATTTCTCCTATAGCTATCCCTCCCCTTGCCCCCCAACCCCCAACAGGCTCCCTAACCCCCAGTCACTGGTGTGTGATGTTCCCCTCTATGTGCCAATGTGTTCTCATTGTTAAACTTCTACTTATGAGTGAGAACATGCGGTGTTTGGTTTTCTGTTCCTGTGTTAGTTTGCTGTTCCTGTGTTAGTTTGCTGAGAATGATGGTTTCCAGCTTCATCCAAGTCCCTGGAAAGGACACG